>NC_000007.14:94324960-94627991 GCF_000001405.40 Homo sapiens
CTGGTCTGCCTGTCTGGAAACACCAAGAGTGGTGACATATGATTTCAATTAGTTTCACAGTTCCACAAAAATACGCTCTCTACAAAATGGAAAAAGAACTAGAATAAGTACCAATGTCATTAAAGATCCTTTGGTTTATCCTTGGGCATTTTAGTGCATTGTTCCTGATAGACTCCCTGTAACAAGATAATCACATCCCCAAAGTCTCTACAAGGCCTAACTTGGAACAATACTGACTGACGAACGAATGAATGAATGAACGAATGAATAACATTAGTCACATGACCCAATAGGAAATCAGATGTTGAATGGTTGTATTCTGGAGAATCTGTGCTTTCATTTTCTAGGTTCCCAGGCTTTGCCCTGTGGAGACTGGTCATCTCAATCTTATTTGCTTTGTATTCTCAAAGGAATTTGGTGTAAATTTGTCAGATAACACCTCAAAAACATTTGAAAACAACAGAAACATACATTTCAAAGCACCATGACTCCAAATAACAAAATTAAATCAGAAGTTACTTTTATGCCTTTCGGCTGCCACTTCCATGAAGAATAAAACCAGAAAATGTCTTTTTTATACAATCTTTCTGGTTAATTATATAATCACACCCTAGAATCCATAAGTAGTTATATACCTAGAAGTTACTGCTTACAAAATATTATTTGCTTCAATTCTATATAGAAATAGTCTTTAAGTGCTGATTTAAAATTATAGTTTAATAATTATGTTTAAGTAGAGTTCATAAAGAAAAAATGATTTGTTAACTTGATAATTTAAGTTGGCTGTTATTCACCAGTATTCTTTGTGAAGGAAAACAGAAAACTGATCTTTGTCAGAATTAAAAGTATTAAGCACATTAGACTGGAAAAGGGCCTTCCCTCCAAAAACCTTTTGAGTATTTACATTAAAATATTCAGATATCTATGATTTTCTGATCATTATAGTCACACATAATAAAACTCTCAATTCTAACAGGAAGCTTTCAAACATGTGGGAATGAAGCAGCTGCTGAGTGTATTCATTCTACTTTGTCTTTTTCATAACCATCTAACATTGAAAATAAATGCACAGGTATATTTCTTAGAGTGGCACTCATTCTAAACTCTGAGGTCTCTGTGGTATGAAAGCATATGAACAGAACTATAATAAGAAATATCTACAATCATACTCAGTGGGAATGGTGCCATGCTACCCAAAGCCAAGGGAGTTTGTCTGTAGTCATCACCTTGCATATGAATATTTTATAAGACTAGTTGAAGAGTCAGTCATGACTATGAGGGAAAATGTCTGATTTTCCTCCTCTAAAGGAAGAATTCTAAATCTAGAAAGGAACTTGGGGATCATCTACCACAGTATCCTCATGGATGAGGAAACCAAGACCCAGAGAATTCTATTTCTTTTTTTAAGGCTTCCAACTATTCAGTTAGTCGAAGTGACCTGGGACTAGCAAAAACAAACACACTTTTAAATTAGACTTATTTCAGAAATGCAATATTTGCCTTAGTAAACATCTCATGCTGTATTTAATACTTCGTACAGGAGCTGAGTTTGGGGAAAATGGGACCTGTATCTCCTTCACTGATAATAGACTTTCAAGATCAAATGTAACTACTCAGTTTGGCAGGTTCAAATTGGTCTCATAGAATTTTTAAAATATTAGAGCCCAAAGGGCTTTATGGAAAATTTTGTTTATATCCCTAAATTTATAATGAGGAAGCTGAAACCTAGAGAGAATAAACAAACTACCCAAAACATGAATAGGACTCATGAATGTGAACATAAGATATGCTGTTTCCACTCTAGAGGCACAGATGGTAATTTTTCAAAAGGGCATCAGGGAAGCCCTCATTAAGATGATGACATTTGAAGGAAGACTTGAAGGAGAAAAGACAGTGAACCATGTGGGTATTGAGGAAAGAGTTTTCCAGGCAGAGTCATTTTCCAGGAACAGAAAGGAGGCCAGTATGGCTACAGCTGCATGAACCAAGTAGAGAGTAGTTGGAGACAAAGTTAGAGAGGTAATGGAAGGCCAGATCATGTAGAGCCTTGGTAGCCATTGTAAGGATCGTGGCATTTACTCTGACTGAAATGGAGAGCTACTTGAGGTTTTGGATCAGAGGAGTGGTATAATATACCTTTATTTTTAAAGGAACAGTCTGGTTGCTATGCTCAGAATAGACTGCAGTAGGGCAAATTTTGAAGCAGAGAGTACTCGGAGGCTCTTGTAGTAAACCCAGGCAAGGAATAATGAGGGCTCGGACTCGACCAGTAGAATGAAGTGGTAAAAAATGGTCAGATTCTGTGTGCATTCTGAAACTCCATGGATTGAGGCTAAGGAAAGGAAAGAGTCAAGAGTAACTTCCAGGGTTTTGACCTGGGCAACTGGAAGGGTGATGTTGTCATTAACTGAGGTAATGAGGGGGATAAGAATGGATCTAGAACTAGAAATACCATTTGACCCAGCAATCCCACTACTTGGTATATACCCAAAGGATTATAAATCATGCTACTATAAAGACACATGCACACGTATGTTTATTGTGGCACTATTCACAATAGCAAAGACTTGGAACCAATCCAAATGTCCATCAATGATAGACTGGATTAAGAAAAGGTGGCACATATACACCATGGAATACTATGCAGCCATAAAAAAGGATGAGTTCATGTCCTTTGTAGCGACATGGATGAAGCTAGAAGCCATAATTCTGAGCAAACTATCACAAGGACAGAAAACCAAACACTGCATGTTCTCACTTATAGGTGGAAATTGAACAATGAGAACACTTGGACACAGGGTGGGCAAGATCACACACTGGGGCCTGTCGTGGGGTGTGGGGAGGGGGAGGGATAGCATTAGGAGAAATACCTAATGTAAATGACGATTTAATAGATGCAGCAAACCAACATGGCACATGTATACATATGTAACAAACCTGCACGTTGTGCACATGTACCTTAGAACTTAAAGTATAATTAAAAACGATAATAAATAAATAAGTAAAAAGAAAATGTGGCACATATACACCATGGAATACTATGCAGCCATAAAAAAGGATGAGTTCATGTCCTTTGCAGGGACATGGATGAAGCTGGAAACCATCATTCTCAGCAAACTAACACAGGAACGGAAAACAAAACACTGCATATTCTCACTCATAAGTGAGAGTTGAACAATGAGAACACATGGACTAAGGAAGGGGAACATCACCCACTAGGGCCTGTCAGGGGGTGGGGGCTAAGGGAGGGATAGCATTAGGAGAAATACCCAATGTAGATGACGGGTTGATGAGTGCAGCAAACCACCATGGCATGTGTATACCTATGTAACAAACCTGCATGTTCTGCACATGTATCCCAGAACTTAAAGTATAATAATAATAATAATAAAGAACGAGATCATGTCCTTTGCAGGGACATAGATGAAAAAAAAAAAAAAGAATGGAGATGAGGAAGGCCAGGCACTCAGTTTAGGATGTCTGAAGTTTGAGCTGTCTATTACTGTACTACGCTTTTCTTGCATTGCCATAAAGAAATACCTGAGGCTGGGTAATTTATGAAGAAAAGAGGTTTGATTTGATCACAGTTCCGCAGGCTGTACAGGAAGCATGGCACCAGGCACCTGCTCAGCTTCTGATGAGGACTTAGGAAGCTTACAATCATGGCGAAAGATAAAGGGAGAGCTGGCACATCAGATGGCAAAATCAGGAGCAAGGTGGGGGGTAGGTGCCGCATACTTTTAAACCACCAGATCTCTCGAGAACTCACTCACTATCACAAGAATGGCACCAAGCAGATGGTGCTAAACCATTCATGAGAAATCCACCCTCATGATCCAACCACCTCCCACCAGGCCCCTCCTACAATACTGGAGATTACAATTCTACATGAGATCTGGGCAGGGACAAATATACAAACTTTATCGATTACTATACATAAAGTAGATAAGTCAAGTGTGCAAGTCTGGAGTACAGAAGAAAGTCTAGGCCAGACATGCAAATTTGGGAATTGTCCATATACATTTGGCGCAAGTGGTATTTGAATCCCTTTTCTTAGGCTAAAGAAATACAGGCCGGGCGCGGTGGCTCACGCCTGTAATCCCAGCACTTTGGGAGGCCGAGGCGGGCAGATCACGAGGTCAGGAGATTGAGACCATCCCGGCTAAAACGGTGAAACCCCGTCTCTACTAAAACTACAAAAAACTAGCCGGGCGTAGTGGCGGGCGCCTGTAGTCCCAGCTACTTGGGAGGCTGAGGCAGGAGAATGGCGTGAATCCGGGAGGCGGAGCTTGCAGTGAGCCGAGATCGCGCCACTGCACTCCAGCCTGGGCGACAGAGCGAGACTCCGTCTCAAAAAAAAAAAAAAAAAAAAAAAGAAATACAAAAGCAACATGCAATACATGAATTATATTTAACTGTACTTCAATGTCCACTTAAGAAAATAGTTAACAAAAATATCATGAAATAATAAATCAAACCTTATTAAATTTTAGGTTCACTTTGTCGTGGGTTTCTTTGGGATTGTAAATGTTAGTAAATATTTTTTTTTCTGGATGAAAATAACAATCAGTCTACAAGATATCATAGAGTTCCCTCCTTATTCTTTAAACAATTTCTTTGTGAATATACATTAGATTGGCTTTTACTATTATAGTCATTGTATCAAAGATGACCCCATTCTGAATTCTTACATGAAATGATGTTTTAATTTGACAACTAATTACAGTTTTCTTCACATCTCATGATCTCAGAAAATCAAGAGACCCAGTCTGGTATATGCAGAGAGACATGAGACCCTGACTGCCTTACCAACAGTTGACAAGGTTTGATTTACTATAAGTAACATCTTGCCTTTTTCCCAAGACAGCTATTCAGAAAATACACAAAAGATGTATTTTGTAAGTATATAATACCCACTAACAAACAATTTAAAAGTCAATCAAATTAATCATCAAATTTTCCCTATTAAGTACTTTGGGTTATATCTCTATGGTAAAGTCGCTAATGAAAGTCACATACGCTGCTGTTTCATTTCCCTTGAGAGAGTACATATCAAATTTAATTAGCCCCCTTTAAGTATATTTAAATCTCTTACATCTAGAATATTTTAAATAAAAGTTCCCACTTAGGTTTATGAATTCTCCACTTAAAAAAAAAAGAAAAGAAAAAGAAGTGGGTCCAATTAATATATATTCCTGGAAGGAACATCCCTGTGATGATTTTATTTTAAACTGAGAAAATAATGAATAAGTAGGATGGTGTTGAAGAAGATACTTAGCATGCAAAGAATCTTTGGGAAAGAACTGAAGTAAGTTAGTTCCACCGCTAGACATCTAAGAGTAAATTACTGTGCTAAAACAGGATTGACTGACTTGGCTTTCTCTGCAAATTCCTTCCTCCCCAACTATATACTTAGGATATAGTTAAAGAGATGAGAGATTGTAAAACAATACTAAAGGCAACACAAGTGGAGGCAGCTGCTGGCTTTATTTTGTTTTGGCAGCGTAGAAAGGTAACTAAAAACAGAAAGACATACCAAAGTGGGAAACAAACAAAATTTACAAAGGCATAAGCCATTCAAATGAACGAAAACACACACTAACAATCAAAACACTTTATGCAGAGACTATGATCAGTGAATAAACCATCTGTACATGACATGTGTTCCCCTTTTCTATTTTTACTGTAAAAGACTCAACTGTCATGTCATTCAGTCAAAAAATATTTCTAAGCTCCTCCTCTAACCCTGCATGATGCTAGGCATTGAGAATACAATGGGGAACAAGCTCACGAAGTTTTCAGTTGAATAGGAAAGATGCATAATAAAGCAGGCAAGTGAGGTAGGATGAGTGCTTGTAAAGGGAAACCTCAGACATCCCTGCTTTCTGTCACTCTTACTACCACCACCTGTCACAACTGGTTCTTTTGCTAGTGTCTGCCATTCTCCCTCTGCTCTGCAATTGCCGCTTGATCATCTAAAGGAGTTCAGAATCCTACTGCGCAAGAAGGAAAAGGTAAATTTTTTATTTCGTGGCTTGTCATTGCCATGAGTTGCTCATACAAATCCTTAATTAAATTCATTCCATGTGTACCTATCTCTTCCTATGTACAAGCCAAGGAAAGCCCAGAAATAACAAGCCATGTTCTTTGCTCCTATAAAGCTGACCCTCCTAAGAAGAGACAGATATGAACATGAGCCATTCTCACACATATCCATATGATAAAGCATCCAAAGTCATGTATAAATAGCATTGTTTTGAGAGGCCAAGGCTAAGAAGGGAAACAGTCAATACAAATCAAAAGACTACCAAATGAATTAATTATATCTGAGATGGAACATAAACAATGCTTAGAATTTCATCAGGCAGAAAAACAAATAAAGGAGAATCCAATCTATGGAGAAAAAGATAGCCAAACTCACAAATATAGAAAAGTAGAGTGAGATGAAGAGACAACAAATGGCCGAGAAGAACTGGAGCACGGAAGGAACACTTCACTTTGTCCGAGCTGTGTTTGTATTCACTTGTGTGTCAGCGAGTGCTTTTGGTGCATTTCTTGCATACAGACACCCCATTCCTTACCCAAAAGTATTTAAGTTGCAAAGTGCCAGCCATGGACTTAGAAAATCTAAGATCCAATCCCAGTGACTGTGTGATCATTAGTAAGTCATGTTATCTTTCTGATTTCCTCTTCTTTCTGTAAAGACAATCATATCTTACAGAAGAGTCCGAATGTGTAATAATATAATGCCTTTGGAAATATACCATACAGTAAAGGTTGTGGAAATGCTTACAATCTTCCCTGGGACTTAATAGGTGCTCATGAAAGGTTTTGTTGTTTCATAAGTCAGTACAACTACAGCCACAAATCTTTATTTAATTTCAAGTTACCAGTTTCACTTGACAGTATCACCAGAGATCACTCTGTCACAGCAAAATAGAACCCACCATTATTCTTCTAAACAGATTTAGTCTTCACAAAGTAATGACACAGATATCAACATGATCTGTAATGCTTAACCATATTTTAATTTTTGGTTTGAGATTTCTGCTAAGGAAAGATGCTGTATCGCTTTTATTAAAAAAATCACAGCATCTAACATGGCTGTTATCGCTTTCTACAGGAATATTACAGTTTATGAAAGTTCAGGCTAGCACTATAAATTCCTAAAATTAAGGAGGATAAAAAGAAAGTGCAGAGAGGATAAAGGAATAGTTAAGAGGTGATGCGATTTCATTTCCTCTCCATGTCTGGAGGACATCTGGAAAATGCACAAGAAGTTCAAGAATTGAGATAAGAGATTTACTGTTTTAAATTCATATATAAACATAAACTTAAAATATAGGTTTAATAAAGACTCTATTACTTAAATCTCCAATTAAAAAGTTTGGGGTTTTATTTTTGCCTGGAGTGCCATTTTAGTATATACAACATCAGAAATAAACAACCACTTTAAGTGTTACACAATAGAATGTTTTTGTAAACTTCTGTTATTGTGAAGTGTAAACCAATCTTTTTTGAAACTCAAATTCAAATTGCATTTCAATTTCATGTAATTCTAGTGCTCCCTTCCTTCTACAGTGGCAAGCATACATTATTAAAATGTATTTAATTTTTTAAATTGAGTATTCCATTGGAAAGAAAGGCCTAAATCTTGAAATACATGGTATTTAGTGTGTATAGTGCTATCAAAAAAACTGAACTAATACTACTTGGTATGAGCAAATAAAAGAATCACCTTCAAAACTGACTGAGCTCCTCAAGTATGATGTAAGGACAATCTTTGTCACTGGACTTGTGGTGAAATCTGATATGATGTATGAGAAATCCAGGTGGAGTCCATGGTGTTTGCACATTAGGTAGAAGGCAGTAAGATGTCACGGAAAGAGCAGTGGTTTGGAAGATGGCGAATCCCTGCCCTCTTCTCAGTTCATGTGAACTTGAGTAAGTCATTGAACTTTTCAGGACCTTGTTTTCCTCATTGATAAAATGAAAAGCTGGCCCTGGACAGGGTTCTAAAACACATATGCACAAAGAAAAAAAAATCATTCTAATCATCATTTACTTTCCAGTTACAAATAGGAGGAGCTCCACAGCAAATTCCCACAGAAAGTTCCCGAAACAAAATTAGAAAAAAATCACATCATTAGAATTACAAATCCTCTTTCCCTCAACTTTTCTCTCCTTTGCACCCCGTAATTTGTATGGGGGTGGCATAGAGGGAGGATAGAATGGAGGTGAATTGTTGGAATGAGGCTCTGAGAGGATCCTGAAATATTTTAGAAAGGAGTAAAGCTATTTGGTTTGGTTCCTGTTTGGTTCCAAGTATGTCCCCAATAGTCAGCCTTTAATGTCTCACTCTGTAGCAGCTGTGTCAGATGGGAGCATGCCTCTCTCTTAGATTGAATATAGTTCTTAAATTGTCTCCACGGTGAGTTTTTCCTGCCTTCATAATTGTCTGAACACTTAGTATATACTGATGTTATTGTAGGATATTTTTAAAGTATAAATGTTTCTTCTTAGATAGATTGTAAATCACATTTTGAGAAATACAACACATTATATACTCTTTGTTTTTGCATTTGGGACCCATCTAAAACCTTAGTTCATAGAGCAAAGCTTTTCTTGCATGTCTTTAATAAATATTTGCTTATTAATTAATAAATTAGTATTGTAGGAGGTTCTATAATAGCTCCCAGTGGGAGTGATTTCCCACCTACTGATACTCATGCCCTTGTGTTATCCCCTCTCCTCAACCGTGGGCTGGATTTAGTGACAGGAGTCTAATGAACAGTATACAGGAAAAGTGATGGGATATCACTCCCAAGATTAGGTTACAAAAAATGTGACTTCCATCTTCTTTGACAACAGTCCCTCTTTCTCAGAGCCCTTAATCTAGGGGAAGCAAATGATTATGTTGTGAGTACCCCTATGGAGAAGCCCACATGCAAGAAATGGATGTCACCAGCCAAGAGCTATCATGAGTGTGCCAACAACCACATGAGTAACTCTGGAAATGGATCTTCCCCAGGTAAAGCCTTGAAGTGGCTAGAGCCCTAGGCAACACTTTGATTGCTATACTGTGAGAGACTCTGAACCAGAGGAACCAGAGAAGCCACCTTCAGATTTATGACTCACAGAAACTGAGATTAGAAATGTTTATTGTTTTAAACCTCCAAATTTTGGGACAAGTTTTTACACAGCAATAGATAACTGCAAAGCAATGAGAATCTCCAAAGAAAACATTTAGGAATGTAGCATCCAAGGATGTATAAGCTTCTTGTATTGATTTGCCTTGAAGGAATATTGAGGAAAAAATCTCTTTCCCTAATCTTCCTTACCACTGCCTCCTACATACATATAAACCTTCAATTAAAATGGGCCACCAAACTGTTCCTGCACTTGTCAGAATTTTTTGTTGGTTCATAACCATATTCATGCTGTTAAAAGATCAATGTTTGCATCAGTTTAAGAATCTTTTGCAAAGCAAACAAAGCAACAGGGTAAAGATACAAGCCACCTCATGGGAGAAAATATTTGCAAATTATATATTTGAAAATGGGTTAATATCCAGAATATATAATGAACTTAAATAACTCAACAGCAAAAAAATTAAAATGGACAAAAGACTTTATTAGACATTTCTCAAAAGAAGACATACAAATTACCAACAGGTACCTGAAAAAAGTATCAACATCATTAACCATCAGGAAAATGCAAATCCAAACCAAATGAGTTATTACCTCACTCAAATTAGAATGGCTATTATCAAAAATAAGAAAGAAAACAAGTGTTGATGAAGATGTGGAGAAAAGGGAAGCCTTACACACTGCTAGTGGGAATGTAAATTAGTACAGTTATTATGGAAAACAGTCTGAAGTTTCCTCAAATAACCAGAACTATAGCTAGCTTATGATCCAACAATCCCACGACTGGGTATATATCTAAAGGCAATGAAATCAGTACATCAAAGAGATACCTGCATTCTGATGTTTACTGCAGCACCATCCACAATAGCCAACACTTGGAATCAACCTAAATGCCCGACAACAGATAAAGAAAGAAAACGTGGTATATCTACACAATGGGATACTATTCATCCATAAAAAAAGAATAAAATCATGTTATTTGAAACAAAATGGACAAACCTGAAGGAGATATATTACATAAACTAGGCCAGGCACAGCAAAACAAATACCACGTGATCTCACTCATATGTGGAATCTAAAAAAGAGTTGATCTCATAGAAGTAGAGAGTAGAACAGTGATTACCAGAGTCTAGGGAGGAGATGGAGAAGGGAGGATTGGGAGAGGTTGGTCAATGGATACAAAGTTATGATTAGATAGGAAGAATAAGTTCTGTTCTGTTGCACAGTACGGTGATGACAGTTAACAGTAGGGTGTTGTGTATTACAAAGCGGCTGGAGCAGGGGAAGTGCTGGGTGTTCTCATCATGCAGAGATGGTAGATGCATGAAGTGATGGATATGCTAACTACCTGGTTTGAACCCTACAATGTATAGATGTATCAAAACATCAAATTGTATCCCATAGATACGAATAATTATAATGTGTCAATTAAATTTTGAAAATAAAAGAAAGATCAATCCTTGAAGTAAGAAGCACACAAGAATGGAGAGGTTCACATATAATCTTCACTAATGAAATAATTAAAGATATAGTTTATCCACAGGCACAGTCCATTATGACCCAGATGAAGAGGCTAAATGCCTGTGGCTTCAACTATCCTCCCAACCAGTCGATGACTGAATGCTTGTGTCCAGAATTTTCTCCTCAGGACTTGGTAGAGGAGACAGATGGGATAATGTGAAAAGCATCTCACCTCAATTCAATGATTCAGTCTGGACATGTAGAGACAGGAAGCTTTACACTAATACCTCCACTTTGAGTTAAGCCTCTAAGTCCAGAGAGAGGAAAACATCAGGCTTGCTAGCAGTCAGCCCAAGGAAAAAGAAGAGCATATTTGGGAGGAACCATGAAAACTCAAAACCTTTAAATATTTTTTGGGAAAAGAAAAAGAAAAAAACAAAACAGCATCTGGGATTTTCATTAAGGCCAACATGTTCAGAAGGCTGGCCATTCTCTGCAGAGATTCTGCTACTATATGTCAAAGGATTCTTTGTTGTCATTGCAGGGGAGGGTGTGTTTATTTTAAAGCTTTCTCAGCTGACTGCTTATACTTCACCCATCTGGGGCACTTTCTCGTGCCTATGTGCAATATTGTGGAAGTAGTAAGTCCAGGTTTCACCACCTTGAAACAAAAAAGCCCTACCCCAAAGTATGGCAACCACAACTTCCTGCTTTCCTAAATGGACAGGAAGTCCTTGTTTCTCCAAGGTTCCACTAACCCAGGTGTGTATAAAAGTCCCAGAAGTAAGGGTCAGGTGCCCTTGGCGCTGGCTCCTAGAAATCCACACAAGCTGTGTATGCTAAAAGCTAGTGCAGCTGAAGATCAGCACGACAGGACCAGGCCTTTATGTAGAGATCCACAGCTCAGGGCTTAATGGGCAGAGACTCAAAGAGCATCTTTCTTAGAGGTGCAGTTAAAAATGAGCAGTGATCACGATGTACTACGCAAAGGTCACAGCCCTAGAGAGATATCTCTTTTGCTCTCACCCTCCTATCTTGATTCTTCTCTTTTCCTCCCAACCTTTATCTAATCTAATTCTGTGGGCTTCACTTTCAGAGTTTATCCTCAAGGCAGCACTTCTCACCATCTCCACTGTGACCACCTATGTCCACGTGAATGGTTCCTTTTTCTTTCCTTGCTTAAACTAATGCAAGTTCTCCACCCCTGCCACCATCAGTTATAGTGTCAATGATTATTCAGAAAGATAAATCTCACCTGGTGATGGTTTCCAGATTTGCATGGCTCTTCAGGATCCATCATTTACTCACCTCTCCAGCACTGTCTCCTGCTACATTCTCCTTGTTCTCTCTGCTCCCACAATGCTCCTCAATATGCCAGTCTCCTTCCCTCCTCAGGCTTTGCACTGCTTCCTCCGTGGGGCTCACTCTTACCCACATGCACATGTGCTTCTTGCTCTGACTTCATTTCGTTTTCTGTTCAATATGCTTCCCTCAGAAAGGCTTCCCTGACCACTCTCTCTCAGATGAGCACCCCCCATACTCACAGACTCACTCGTACCCTACCTCCTTACCCTACTTCGTTGGTTCTTTCTCTCTTCATGGCAATTATCTCTACTTAAAATGATATTTTATACGTATTTATTTCTAGAAAATAAGCTCCATGTGGGCAAACATTTTGCCTCACTTTTTACTTTTATATCCCAAATAAAGAAAGAAGCGTCTGGCATATAGTTAATCCTCGATAAAGAGCCTTGACTAAATGAAGTACTAAACAATACTCCAGGGGGGCTGCGCAACCTGATGGTCTCACTGACATTTATTTCTAACAGAAGCATTTGCCCCTGCTGATCCCTGTGTCTCAGTTGTTACCATTTCTAACTTGGAGGCTTACTGATTAAAAAAAAAAAAGCCACAGATGGGCCATCTGCTCTGTGCTCAAACCCCCCCAACCTGATAACCACCCACATCAGAGAGGCAAGGGTCTGCCAGTTAGTCCCCAGGCATGGTATTCCCCTCAGTGTGAAGGTGGTGGAATCTTCCTTTGATATTAGGCTCACTCAAGAATGCTTCCTGCCAAGCCTGGCCTTGATAGTTTTAATACAGCTCTTCAAATTCACTCATGGCCACTTTTCTCGGAGCTAAGGCTGCTACGAGGAGAGAGGCCAGGATGGACTCTGGCATCAATTGCCACGAGAAACCAGTAGCAACGCTTCAACTTCTGTGGTTCAACCCTTGACTCTCAGTACTGAACACACCTGACATATACCCTTCTTCCCAAACTTTGTTCATTCAATTCTCACAAGAAACTCAATCTTTAAAGCGAGCAGTTTGGAGCCCTGGTCACATTTCTCCTGAGAGCTATGCCTGCTTATTATATAAACCTGTGGAATCAAATAAACAACTCCACTGAGTGGTTTCCTAGCCCCATATATCACTGGATATGGATATGTTAAAGTTAAGTGACACGCACCTACACAACCCCAGCCCAAGACTTAAGTTAAAAAAAGTTTTATTACCCATGGAAAAAACAGGACACTTTAAAAAAGCATGACATTAGCAAATGTTCTAGATTGCAGGCCCCTTCATAATCATTTCCTTGCTAAAACAAGGAGGATATAAAGACAAATAAATTATCCAGTTTGCCCTCCATGAGCTGACCCTGTAGTCAGAGAGACAGATATTGTGATATGAGTGTAAATCCAAGTATGAGTTAGATAAAAATGGTACCCCTGAGCAAGGGGAGGGAGAACTGTACAGAGGGGATAATATTTAAGCTGAGTCTAAGAGTGGTAGGAGGCTGCATGGTGGACAGGAGTGGAAAGGACATTTCCAACAGAAGGAACAGCCTAAGTAATGGCCTCACGGGTCTGACTGTTAAAGAATATATCTCTCCAGCTTCACCTTCCAACACAGCTCACTCAGCCACTTCTGCTGTAACTGCAATGAACTACTCACTATTCTCTGAATATGAATTACATGCTCTTTCTTGCCTTTGAAAATGGTGTTCTCTCTGCCTGAAGCAGTTTCTCCTCGTCCTCAACTCCTAAGCACTGGTGAAACCTGAATAGCACTTCTCAACCTTCAGGACTTAACTTGGATATAACATGTCTTCTTTGACCTCTTCAAGTCCAAGTTAGGTATTACTTCTACATCCCCTGAGAGCATGCCATAACTTCTCTACTGTAGCGCTTGATACACTCTAGTCTAACCTCTGTGGATTTATTCCATAGTTTCCTGTAGATTACACATTCCAGGAGGACAAGACTATATCTATCTTGATTATCATTGTATCCCCAAGGTCTGGCAGATGGCCTGCCAAATAGTTGGCAATGCATGCAGAATGGATCAATTGTTCAAAATTTCCAGGCATAGGATGGGGCTGGAGAAAGGACAGGTGGTAAGATTAAGATTGAATTTATAGATTAAAACTAAGCCTGAAAGACAACGTGTGCCCTGCTGTGTACATTTGTTATCCTCTCTTCCAGAAGTCATGGAAGTGTTAAACACAAGAGGGGAGCAGCAAGTCAGCAATAAGAAGGCCTGAGATAACAGCAAGGGACTAGGGACCAGAGACAAGACTGATTGCAAGAGACACAGTATTTAAGAAGTTGTAGCTCTGAGACCTGATGATTTATTACAGGGTTAGGTAACAGAGTAGGAAAGAAAGAATGACTCACAAAATTGGTAAAAATGGAAGATCTATGGGGAGTATCTTTATTTTTCTCTTACATGAGAGAAATGAGTAATGTAAACAGTAGGATGGCCCTGGGTATTCAAGACTAAAACGTGTCTGTTGTTCATTACCGTGTGTCATGATATTGGCAATTCTATAAGCTATGGGGACATTTGCACCCCCACAGGTGGAGAATTCAAAATTTGAAAGAACTGCTTCATAATTAAATTAGCAGAGAAATGGGTAGAATGCTTTTTTACAAAAATAACACAAAATAAATCATCTTTAAATTATTTAAAAACTGGATAGTAAGTGGAGGTTAAATCACTAAATCTTGACTTAGGAAAATGACAAATTATCTGCCTATTTTTCTCATTACTTCTCACCTCAGATCACCAAGAACTTTCCCAAAGTTGCAAACAAAAACAACAAAAGCCAATGTCTTTCAGGAGATGTTTATCTAAGTGAAAACATTGAGGAAACAACACTGTAATAGAGATAGGGAAAGATACACTTGATAAGTGAGAAAAAAACCTCAGAGGCTGAGAGAGGAAACAGTTTTCAGAAAACACTTTGAAGAGATGAGAGAGGACACAAGACAATAACAAAATGCTTGCATGGGGGTGGGAGATACGATTTTGGAAGAAATCAGAAAATTGAGAGTGCTGAGTGTTGAGAGAATAATTTGTAAGAAAGACTACAAAAATAGAAGGGGAAAATGGAAGCAAACTTGTGGTTAGAGAAAAAATAACAAAGCAGTCCCCCGCCCCCAAATCTCACCCTGAGCTGGAAAAGACAGAGAGGTTAAAAACAGGATTAGAATACTGTCAGTTCTTTAACTTAGTGATCTAAGTAAGCCTTAGGTTCTTCATCTATAAAGGATTGCATTAGTCAGCTCAGGCTGCCATAACAAAAAGACTGGGTGACTTTAGAAAAAAAAATTAATTTCTCACAGTTCTGGAGGCTGAAAGTTCAAGATCAAGGTCTGGCAGGATCAATTTCTTGTAAGAGCTCTCTTCCTAGCTTGCAGATGCCCACCTTCTCACTGTGTCCTCATATGATGGAGAGAGCGAGCCCTCTGTATCTCTTCCTATAGGAACACTAATCCTATTGGATCAGGGCCCTACCCTTAGGACCTCATTTAACCTAAATGACTTCCATAAAAGCCTTGCTTCCAAATACAACAACATTGGGAAGTAGGGCTTCAACATACAAATGTAGGGGAACATGATTCAGTCCATAGCAAGGTTGTTATAAGAAATCTGAGAAATTATGCAAAGTTCATTATGCCTGGCACATGGCAGGTGCTCAATAAATGCTAACTAATGTTAGCTATAAAATCATCATTGTAATAGGCATCATATCTGAGGTAACTTATGCTTTTTATTTTATATTTTTAAAGGAATGCTACAGATGGAAAAGCCACGTGTTGCCTACTACCCCCCTGAAAACTGCCCAGTTGCTCAGTTATATGGTTTGGCCATGTCTCCACCCAAATCTCATCTTGAATTACAGTTATAAAAATCTTTTTGGGTTGCTATTATTATTATTATTTTACCATTTCACAAGTAAGTAAACCAAAGAGCTTGCCCAAGATTAGGTAACTAATAAATGAAGGTTCGAATTCAAACCATGTCTGACTGCAAATACATCTCTCCTTTATGCCAGAATCATCATCATCCTTAAGTTATAGGGACATGTGAGTATGACTAGGAAAAAATGGGTCAGTAAAACACAAACACACACACACACACACACACACATTGGCACTGATTCTTAAATCAAAGTATTTATTTTCTGATGTCGTTCTTATGAGTATTTGCTTACTCAAATTTTTAAAATCATCTGAAAAATGCCTCTCAATACTGAAAAATTGCTCTACCATTCTAGTCATATGATCACATAATGGGCTTTTTTGTTTAGATTCTAGAGCAGAAGATCTGGGTTGCAATTCAGCATTGCTACTTCTGAACTATGTGATTTTGGGTAAATTGCTTATACCCCCTTAGCATCCATTCTCAAGGGAGCATTGTTGCTTATGTCACAGGGAAATTTTTAAAATTACATAAAACGCAGTCTGCAAAAGCATAGTAAGCTGCCACATTAGCACTCAGCGTCTATATTTTAAAAGTTAATGAAAACGTTGCCAACGTCTCTATTTCTGAATAAGGGCAAGCAAGAGAGACTATAAAGATTTTTACAAAGAATTCTAAAGCCTGAGAATTAGGACTCATTACCATGTAAACTCCAGACATAATCAGAGTTGTTTTCAAGCTTCATTGTTCCAATCTAGTTTATCTCTTTTCTTCCCCAGTTATTTTCATGGGTGTTTCACAAACTATGCAGACTTCAATAACTCACTCTCTAATAATATACTCTGGATAATTGTTAGCTTCATGAAATGCAATTGCCTATACTTTAAGTTATAAT
The DNA here is from genome assembly GCF_000001405.40 of Homo sapiens. Classification (NCBI taxonomy): domain Eukaryota; kingdom Metazoa; phylum Chordata; class Mammalia; order Primates; family Hominidae; genus Homo; species Homo sapiens. The sequence goes on from NC_000007.14 coordinate 94,341,674, forward strand.
TAGAGGAATTACTTAAAGCCTCAAGTGGCCTTTGGAAATCTGAAAATGGAAGCTGAATTTATAAACGCTAGGAAAGAATAGGAAATCCCAGAATCCTAAATCACCAGACTCAAATACATGTGAACTCACTGAGAGACATCCTCTTGCTTTGGTTATAACAACCAGACTTATACTGACATTAACACCAATGCTACAGTTACTAAATGAGAAAACTGAGTTCACAGAGATCAGTTTTTTAATGTACAATACATTTACCGAAGAAAAGTCTTTGTGACTCAGCTGAACAAAGGAAGTGTAGTTTTTAAAACAGACTTGTTGAGGAAGGGGCAACTCTAGTCATAAAGATGGAAAATTAGCCTCTGTGGCATCTGATTCAATGACAATGGTGAATTTTGCAAATTACGTATCTAAGACTTGGTCAGTCTGGGACCATTTGCCTCCATTTCCATAATATTATTGGCTGTTGTCAGAAAATGACTTGAATAGCCATATATAGAAAGACCCATAAGTTGTTGCTATTATAGACAGTTTGAGCATTGTATCGTTTTCTTCAGAGAACTCAGTAATTTGTCTACCTTTCCATAACTTTGTCAGATGAATTCCATCGCACCAACTATTCTAAAATGAAATTAAGATCATCTCACCCCAAAGTCCTGGTCCAAGCTCTACCTTCTTGTCCGTCACTACTTAAGCTTAGTTCTCTACCCAATATATGTATATTAAGATAAACTACTTTTACTCTAACTTTTACCCTTTCTACCTACACATATCATTAAAATGTAAAATATAAGTCTCTAAATGCAGAACTAAGCCTCTCCTCCAATGAACAATAGTGCTGGTTCTTCTTTCAACTAAATTCAAATTAATACACTTTTTAAAAAATAATTTATGGCCCAAGCAGTGTATTTAGGGTCAGATACACTAAGGTGAATTAGCCAGGAACCCTATCCTCAAAGATGTCTACTAAAAGACTTAAATAATACCTCTACTTTGTGAAATGTAAATGGTCTATCAGTTCATGCTGTTCCCATTTTCCAATCAAGACTTGTATTTCTAGCTTTCCCTTATGTTATCTCTGACTACATTACTCCATAGAACATCATTGATTTGCCCACTTGTTTTGGTACTTTAAAAAATAAAATTAGAATCAGATTAATAAAGCAGAAAGTGGCCTGAGATCATTGATTTCAGACCGTGCTGCGGTCTGAGACTCTCATTTTATAGATGAAGAAAATGAAGTCTTTCAATTCTGATAACGTGGAGAATTGAGGAAACATGAACCTGTTCCTGTTCAGCCATATAGAAATACATGATAAAACAGGATGAAAAAGAGTGTTCAATACATAGTCTACCTCCAAAGAAACAAAGAGGAATCCCCAGAGCCAACAGGAGAGAGGGATTTATTCTGGCAGGAATGGTAAGCTCCAAGTAACCCTGCCACAGTTCCTAGAGGTTTGGGACCTCACAATTGGTCAGACCTCTGGCTGCCTCTGCCCTTCTCAGCCACTGTGGGCTGAGGCAATCACTATCTGCACTGGCCGTACAGGTGTGTTGCTAAGATTTCCTTCAAGAAAACTATGCTGGCAACTTAGCTGATTATTAGCTCCAGCTGTCACCTTTGGGATTCATGCTTTCCCTAGCTGTCCCTAGCCCATGCCTGAGCATAGCACAGGGTAGTAGAGCTAGCCCTTTCCTACCTGACACTGGACTCCTCCAACCAACAACCTTTGGTGGAGGAGTTCCCATGAACCTGGGGTATATCGTCTCAGAACTGTGCTGGGGTCTGAGTTTTCCAATCCAACACTCCCTTTCCTCTCTTCTTTCACAGGTGTCAAAATTGCGTTGACATCTCAAGACTCTTGCTACCACATCCTTCTTTCTTTCTCCTTCAGAAGCACTTTCCAAAATAAATTTCTTAAACATCTAATCTCATCTTTCCATCTGCTCTTCCAGAGACCCAAAGTGACACCAAGTCTGAGCACACCATTGGAGAACCTAGGAAGCTCTACCCTAAAGAACTTTCAGACATGTGCACAAGAAGACCTGTAAGCAACAATGTCCATTACAGCATGGTTTGAAATAGTAGAAAAGCAGCAACAACCTAAATTTTCAAGCATAGAGAAAGGGAAAATTTGGGGGTATATTTACTTAATGGTACGGTAGATAGATAAAAAGAATAAATAAAACCAAAAGTATCAACCTGGATGCATCTTACCAATATAATATTAAGTGAACAAAAAATGTTGCAAAAACACAGAAACAATATGACACAATTTGTTTACATTTAAAAACACATAAATAGTACTCTAGATAGTTTTTTTAATTACAAGAATTTGGGTAGCAAGAACACACATCAACTTCAAGACAGCGGTTATCTCTGGGATAGGAAGGAGAGAAAATAGGATAGGGTGGATTTTAACTTTTTCTGTAACATTTCACCCCTTTTTAAAAAGGATAACAACTGTTAAATTTCATTGGTGGATATATGAGTGTTTGTTATAGTATTTGTTGTACTTTTCTGTGTTTGAAATATTTCCAGATATTTCAAATTAAATAACATAAATATATCTTGAAAGAAAAGAAACTGAGGCCCAAAGAAATGAAATGACATGACCAATTTCACATACTTAGTTCATGGCAGAGCAGCTGGTAGGCTCCTGGACTGGCCCTCTGGCCATCATATTCTGTTGTTATATGCCTTTCTAATACACAGAACTATGGTCAATGTGTCTTCGGTAACCTTCACAGTGACTGGTACCATTGTGGGTGCAAGAAAGCACTAGATGTACTAGAGCAAATTGAACAATTAGCGTTCAACCTTTAATGCAAAATTATTTTATCACTGGAATTATACCCCAAGAGAAAAAAGTTCTTGCTGCAGTCTGACTGCTAAATGTTCAGAAATGTGTGGGCCACGCACCCAGCAGGACCTAGTTCCTGTGTTCCTAATTCCTGGCCCAGATCTTGTCCAGAAACACCAAAAACTTTGTGTTAGACATTAAGATCAGCCATCTGAAAACTGTTAAAGTGTGCCTATAGCATGTAGATGATTTCGGAGAGCTTATATTCTTCCTCTGAAGATTCACTTCTGTGAGAGTCCCACCAGCAGCTGTACTCAGGAACCACTTTGTTTAGAATCTGGAAAATTTAACTGACTCCACTCTCTACACTCCAATGGTGAGGTAGGCCCCTTCTTCTCCTGAACAGAAAATGAGGGGCATACTAACCCTCTAGTGGTCCTACAGAGACCAAATGAAGACACACAGTGCCTGCTCTCAAGAGCTACCCAATATACAATAGAATGCAAGGCCAATAACAGCCAAAATGAAGCACCCTTAAATATTTTAAACCTGAATCATGGGCTAAAACCACAAGCAGAAAAGAATGATCAGTATGTACATTTATTAGGGTCATCTTTATATATTTCTGTTGTGAAAGGCAATTATTTTTCTAACTTTAGTAAAACGTAACACATTTTTACTAATTTTGGTTACATAAGAATTTGAGGTGAATACATCCTTGAGGGTAAGCTTTGACTTTTTTATTAGTATACTTTTAAAAGCTGACAAAGGGCTTGGCACATTATTAATGTTTGTTGATTGAATGAAAGGATGAATAAATGAATATAAGCGAAATTAAGACATATTTCTTACTGACAGACACTAATGACTAAAAAAGGCTTCCAACAAATGAGCAGAGTTGACAATTAAAGTGTAAATAGGAATCTAATGAATGTTCTAATTGATCTTCCCTGCTTTAAGATGTAGCCAGAATTTTTTAACCTTGAGATACAATGCTCAGCAAATTAGGAGACTGTCCTTGTGTGACAATCTCTTTAATCAATCTAATAGTTTGTCTACTCAACTACAGACTTTAAGACCTCTGCCAAATTAGTGTTTTGTTTTGTTAGTCTTAGCAAAAGTTATGTCTTAATAATAGATTCATATATGAGGTTTAGCTTGGCACTTTGGACTTCTGTGAAAATAAAGAACATATGTTAAATTGTTTTTTAAAAAGTCTTCAAAGGTAATAAAGTTGGGAGGAAAAAGGAAACTCTCATTCTTTCTTGGTGATTCTACCTACAAGAAAACAATAAACCCTTAATATCTGAATCAGGTTTTAACAAGATTTTTTAAAAAATTGATTATTTCTCTTTAGTTGTGCAGTGGCTTCAAGATAATGAGTGTTAAGCATTCCTTCAACCCATCGAGAAGTTTGATACCATCTATACAAGGCTTGCTAAGAGATGGCAAAGCAAAAAAAAATTTTTTTGACCCAGACCAGACCACCCACCTCCAGCCTATGAAGGAGAATAAAGGCTGAAAGGGAAATTGACATTTACAAAGTGGATTTTGTGAGGGAGCTGTTAATGAGTGTTGAGTCCCACACAACTCCCATGGGGAGAAGGATTAGGTGTGTTTTCCTTCATTTCAAGCCCAGGGAATGTGGCTTCAATGGGACCATGTAGAGAGCTCAAGGTGTGCCCCAGGTACTGTCAGAGGACAAAAGAATATGGGGAAATGCTAGCTGACTAGTAATTCTGATCTGATGGAAGACAAAGAAAAGCTGACATGAAGAAAGGTTACAACAGAATTTCTTGAGGTAAAGAATATGCATAGTTATATGAATTTAACAGAAAAGAATCAACCTTGAGGTCCTCTAAATATTGCCCAAAATAACTTCCTAGAGGCACACAGTATCCCCAACACAGGAGTGTAGCACTAGGAGACTATCATGTAAGTGAGCAACTATAGGGAGGAACATCCCTGAACATCAAAAGAACTGCAGGCTAGGTACCCTAGTGATTCAGGGTTGGTGGGTGGAAAGTTTTCAAATAATGCCCCAAAGTTTGCCAGGAGAAAGTGTCAGCTTTAAACACCTGCCAAGCCCAGAGAGCACATCATCATTAGTTGAGAGACATCAACTAATTTCAGTGGTGATCAACTAATGCCTTTGCTTTTCTCTTACCTCCCCTCTCTCTCTCAGCTCCCTCCAATCCCAAAGGGGTCAGAAACTGCAATTAGCAAGCTGGAGGAGGAGGAGGAGGAGGAAGAGGCACAGAAGCAGGAGGTGGGGAGCCTGAGACAGAGATCATCCTGTCTGCCCTTCCCACTTCAGGCTACCACCTCTTGCAGACCTACGTTAAATGAAATGAGAAGCCTCAACTTTGACTACTATTAAGGTATTACATAGAAGTAGACATTTTAGGGGCCAAAATAAAACTTTCTGGGTGACTAGAAGAGCACAAAGGATCTCTCATTTTCTGAAAGTGGAGTGATCGAAAAAAGCCACTGTGCCATTCCTGGAATTCATTCAAGAACAGAAAAAAATTTGTCCTACTGAGTGGGCTAAAAGAAATAGGGGAAAGATTAAAGCTGTCATGTGATTTCATTCCAGGAGACCTGCTTGTTCACTATAATGAGGTTATTTTCCCACATCAAGAAAAAACCTCCAATAAGTTCTATTTCCTAGTCTTACTGTAGATATTCCACTCCACGAACAATGAGGGAATGGTTGCACTTAATTGTTTGATGTCCATGTAGTCCAGTGGAAGAAAATTCTGTCCAGGTTCTCCAGTCCCTACCTGCTGAAGCCCAGTCCCCAACTAACTCATTCAGGCAGGCAAAAAATACTGTAAATTCATTTTGCTGCCCTGAGTTCAGTACCAGCTGATGTTGGGTTGGGTTCACTCTTCACCCCCTGCCCATCATGATTTTTTTCTCATGCCCACTATTAACTGACCAGTTTGTGTAATGGTAACCTGCTTTCCCACAGAGACCTGGATTCTTTGGCCCGCATGCCCTACCATGAGCCAGGGTCACCTTCCTGACAGATTCATCTCTTAGACTCTCAAATGCACATCACCTGACATGAAGTTCTGTCCAGCTCTGTGCTTCCTCCACTCTGCCCCAACGACCAGATTCGACCTCTCTGTAGCAACACCAGCCCACATCAAAACTGGTCATGCCACACCCACAGGGAGGAATCCCAGCCCTTCCCAGTTATGCCTTCAGCCTCTACCTGTCCCATCACCCTTTGCTGCTGAGATCCCAGTATGCCTTGCGGTTGAACCCATAGAAAGTTGGAATGAAAAAAAGAACTAGGAGGCACTCATCTGCAACTATTTCTTGTGATGAAAAATGGTGCAACCATTAAAGGAGAAAGGAGGAAAGGAAAAATTGGGGTCTTAAAAAGTACCCTTCAGTTATCATATAAGACTAGAAAAGCAGCCACAAAGTGTTCTTAATGTTACTCAGTGGTTATCATTTCAAATCAGACTCAGACCAGGAAGATGCAAGGATAATCATGAAATATGAGGCACACCGCTGCTGAGCACCAGTTAGTTCCAAATGTGTTCATTTATTCATTTGCAGTAACAGCCTCGGAAATCAGTGGAGTGGTCTCTAGGAAGTAAAGGAATAAAATAATTTTCCAACTCTCATAGTCAGAGGGCTAATTCAAATTTCAAAAGGAACACTAACTTGCTTAAAGTACCATAAAAATAGAGAGGGGGCGGGGAGAGTGGAAATTCCATCCTGCTTTAATCACTGTCTCCTGCAAGTTTCCTTAATGATTTCCAGCTGCCTCCATTTAGGCTGTTGCTTTGACAGAACTTTCATACAAACTTGGAACATTTAACGTATCCAAATTTTTTTTTTTTACTTTGCCCTCAACTGCATTCTAACCAAAAGCAGATTTCTCTTGGATTATATAAGAATATGATGAGCTGGAAAGGGGCGGAGTGAGGCAAGGAGTCTGCCTTTGCTTTTTGCAGTCTCCACAAACCATTTCACAAGAGGCACAAAGGAAAATGTGAAAACCCAAGGAGAAGCCCACACCCTTGTAGAAAGCCAAAATATGGTTTCACTTCAACATACTACTGCATTCTGAAGAGAAACTGACTATTCAGAATTAGGCTACCACAAAATAAATACCTCCAAATTTTAATATAGGTAAAATTTTAAGAGGGGGAGAGAGAAAGAGAGTGTAGTAAGTTGGTATGGAAATATTTACAGCCAAACTTGTGCTGACCAAATAGCCTGTGACCCTAAGTCATCCATTTTTCTGCATGGGGAAAGGAGCAGAGAACAATGGAAACATGGATATACAATATCATAAAAGATTAGATATTAATACTTGAATAAGGAAGTTTATTAAAAATCATGAGCTTCAGCCTTGAAGATCCTTGAAGGTCATAATTTCCTTTCCAATAGGGTTGTATGCTCTTTAAAAGAAAAGAGTAACCATCTCTTAATAATTTTTGTCTTCTCCCACAACCCCTAGCAATAGGATCTCATATACGGAAGGTCTTCAATGAAGGCATGTTAAAGCGAATAAAGAAAAGCTTTCAGAGACTGATGTTAATAAAACAGGGGGATATGTGTAAAAAGAAAATGAAGACTGTTTGCAAGGAGATTAATTAGTAGGCTATTTTATCCTCATGATTCCTTGAATCTGTAATTTACTCAGCTATCATTAAGTTTTCCACATGAAGATAGGTCCTATATTTTTACTTGTGAGACAAAAAGAGACTTTGGTAGGTCTTCAAGTTATTCTCCTGAAAACTATCCCAGACTACTGAAGAGCTACTCTTTGAAAAAGGGTTCTATAAGTTAACCTATTCCTTCTTGTCCAACAGGTCAGTAAGGAAATACTCTATGTATATACCTCAAATCGTATATATTGCACACTGAATTTTTTCGGGGGGTAGGGTGGGTAGAGGGAAGTTCTTAAAAATATTTAAAAATGAATAATAATTTTCTATTTAAAATCCAAAAGAGGTACAGAGGAAATATAGGAAATAGTAGCTAAGTTAGTCTTTGAGTCACTTCTCATCTCTACCTTCATTCATTTTGACAAATATTTTCGAGTACCTAGGGCAGAGCAGATGTTGAAAATCCCATAGATTTTCCATATAAATCTTATTCTCCATCACTTAGGGACATTCCGAGGCTCCAGAATTTCTGCTAGAAAAGCTTTAGGCCGGGCGCGGTGGCTCATGCCTGTAATCCCAGCACTTTGGGAGGCCGAGGTGGGCGGATCACGAGGTGAAGAGATCAAGACCATCCTGGCTAACACGGTGAAACCCTATCTCTACTAAAAATACAAAAAATTAGCCAGGCGTGGTGGCACACGCCTGTAGTCCCAGCTACTGCGGCGGCTGAGGCAGGAGAATGGCACGAACCTGGGAGGCGGAGCATGCAGTGAGCCGGTATCGCACCACTGCACTCCAGCCTGGGCGACAGAGCAAGACTCTGTCTCCAAAAAAAAAAAAAAAAAAGCTTTGGGGATAATAATCTGGTTATTGGAAAGAATGCCAACCTTTGTCCTGAAGCTGCATGTGGGTGTCAAGCACTGGTTTACTTACATTGCATCTCTATCTAGGGAGCTTGGAAAGTTAAATTCTCCCAAGCCACTTGGTGCTGTTGCATTAAGGACCTATTTTTAACATAGCTTTGAGCTTTAATTCTGAATCTTTCCAAGTTCTCTATATTATCCTCAAATTCTAGTGCCACAAATTGTACACATTCTAATATGGGCAAACACAGTTAAAAATAAACCAATTCATCAGTTTTTAGTGGCTGAATTTTGCCTATTTGTAGACTCCAATAATTGTACTTGCTTTTTGAACAAATTCATTATTCTTTTGATTCCTTATGACTAATTTCAGCAGAATGTCACCACAAGCAATCAATTTATTTTCAAAAAAGTGTTATGCAAATGAAAGGAATCAATAATACAGAATGGGAGTATATCTGTATTGAGCCTTCCTTTCTTTTGCCCGCTTGTTTTATAAATTCCTACTCCTCATGTTTATTCCAGTATGCCATCTATTAACTATTTAATATATAAAATGTTATTAATAAATATTCCTGTACTGCACTATTTTTTTCTTTCATGGTCCATGGATCTTATACCTTCTTTATTAGATTATAAATTTCTTAGTTATAAAGACAGTGCCTAGTCCATTTTTGCATCCTGCTGGCCAGCATCTGGCCCACTGAAAACATCAAAAATGGTTTGTTGAGTGAATGAGAGAATGCACTGAACCTTGAACCCTAGAAAAAAAGTATAAAATAAATCTTCAAAACTTTTATAAATGAATTCAAAAGCTGTTTCAGATAAACTATTAGCAAGTCCTCAAATCTAACACTTCTAGAAGGCCCACTAGGGAGGGTCAACATAACCTGGTAAGGGTGTAAACACAGCTATTGTTCTCTCCCGGATATGCTTACTTTTGATTTATTGCACATGTCCACCTGCAAGGCTTCTCCAAGCACACAGAGTCATAATATACAAAGTCACCTAGTGACAAGTGAGTCTCTCAGCTCCATTGCTCACTTGGATCAGCAGCTCTCATTTATCTCTCAGGCAGCTCAGAACTGCTCCCAGCCTCAAGGCCCACAAACTCAGACTTTGTCAAATCAAATGGGCAATAATTTACCATATAAGTATCTTTTATAGAATAGTGAGTTATTTCTCTTCTTTGTCATCTTTTTTCCTCACAAAATAAAACACTGGAATTATAATTCCACATGTAGATTTATAGTTAGTTTTTCTTCTTAAGAAGGTGTGTCCATTATTATTTCATTGATCACAAGCAAGATGAGGTAGGGAGTTTAAAGGATTTAAATAAATATATCAACACTTGCCCTCAAAAGACTCAAAGTACATGGAATAGTTGCATATGGTGATAAGCTGAAGATTCCAGAAGAAAGGAGGGAAATCAGGTAAAAACCAATCTTGAAATTGAAGTAGAAATGTAAAATCGGAAGGAAAACAGAATAATCCACAAGGAAAACCATGCTCCCTGAAGAGTTAAAATGCTAAATCCTGAGATGCTAAATTCTACTCAGGCTTTAAATCAAATCAAGCTACCTTGTACACCCATAATTTATCTCTGTGGTGAAGTTTGTTCTTATTTTCAAGCAAAATAATGCATAGGTAAGACTTGACTATGTACAGAGAATGCCATAAATGAAAGGCAGGCTGAGCTATGTGAGTCTCCAGTGGAAAAGGGTGAGTTATGGTCGTGGTTATTCTACATGAAGAACACTGTTTAATAACACAGGGTTCCTGGATAAGGCATGCCTTGCAATTAATATTCTCATCAACACAGAATGGCTGTTCCCTTTCATCCTTTCTTAGCAGTCTCTGCAAAGGAAGCATTTCAAAACTCTATTTACCTACTGATACAGAGTATGCACTGCCACCCATACAAGGCGGAAAGCAGAAGCAGCTACTGATTTTGAGGTTTCACGTGATGATTTTTCTCCATTACACAATAATACTACCTAACTAATTCTACGTATTTGGGAGCAAACTTTATTTGGTGAAACACTCAATTAGGAATTAAAATTTGTGTTCAATTCTTGGCTCAATCTCTTATTACACATATATATGATTTGGAGTAAAATACTTACCTAAGATCTCTTGAATTTTTTTCAACAATAAAATGGGTGTTAGTGATACTTGCCTTAATCGCCTCCCTATATAATTGAAACAATCAAATGAGATGATGTAGTTAATGTGCTTTGTAAATTGCATAGTGTTATGCAAATATAAGATACTAATTAAACACATTCAATAACAAAAATGCCTTTCATAGGAATTTCCCTCTCATCCTATGAGATGAAAAATTGCTTTAAATCTTTCCTATAAAAAGAGAGCATAAATAAATGACTATAATGATGCAGAAAGATCTTTCTTGTGACTACAAACCATCTGTACCTACCAAAAACAGCTACTAAAACTACAGAAATAAGGACATTCTTCCAGGTAGTTCTCTTCTCTTGTTTCATTGAGCTTTGGGGAAATATTTTTTAAGTTCTAGTCTATTCCTTTTAACTGGTTTCTGATGCACATATGAAGGATAACTCTCTAGATGCTTACTCTTTCCAGAAAGTATTTACTTAGAGAAAATTAGAATTTAATTTATACTGGATGATCAATATAGACCTTTATGCATGCAATACATCTAATACACCGCAACCAGATTAATTTCCCTAGTCAGTGATTAATTGCCTACTCTGTCCCTGGCTCTGGAGAAGGTGCCTGGAATACAACAAAGAGCATAATGGGCAGGGTCTCTGCCCTTCAAAATATCACATCCATAGTCTTGTTTCAGAGCTCATCTTTCTCAACCTCTGTGATATTTGATTTTGTTGCCACTTTGCCTTCTTGAAACTTTTTCTCTCTTGATTTTGAAGATATTATTCTTGCCTAATATAGCAGACACCACTGGCAAAGTGCTCCAACCTGCATTTCCAACCCCTTCTCCTTCGTTACCTTCCAGCTTTCAGTGTGACATGGTTTTGACCAATTAGATGTAAAGTGAAATCTACGCTAATGTTTCCACAAATATATAGGCATCACTGCTTCCACTTCCTCATTCTTTCTGCTAAAACGTAGACATAATTACCAGAGCTGTAGCTGACAACCTGCATCCAGGTCAAGAAAATGGCAAAACTTGGGGCTGATGGTGGTAATCTAAGCACTCGTCGTAACTATCCATGTTCAGACTTCTTGCTTTGTGAAAGAACTAAACAAACAAGAAACTCCTTTTGTTTAAGCCACTACGTTCAGGTTTTCTATTACTTGCAGCCAAATACGTTTCTAATTGACACACCCTGTTTCTCTTTTACTTATCTGTCCAATACTTATTTCCTCCAGAAACGTCACATTTTTTTTCTGTCTATTCTTTGGAGGTCAATTTTCAGCACCTTCTATGTATTCTTCCTGGGAAATCTCAATTCACCCATTCTACTTGTTCTTTCATTAAGTTATTCAACAAATAGAGATTAAAAGACTGCCACATGCCTGGCACTGCTCTGAGCACTAGGGATAGAACAGTGAACAGTAAAGCTTCCACCTTCATGGAAATTACAGTCTAGGAGTAAAATACAACCACCTAATTCTAATTCATTCTCAGTCACAGATTAAGTCTCTGCAGAGACCTCCCCAAACTTCCCAGTCTAAATTAGCATATCCTGCTAGATATTTTCATAGCATCCTGTGATTTTCCTTTCCATAGCATATATTTTTAGTTACATACTTCACTGTGTATTTATTTTACATCTTTCTCCTCCAGTAGAAAGTAAAGTGGTAATTAAGTCTTTTTATAACTATCCTATATCCAGTGTTTCACAGATTATCTAGCACATATTACGTGCTCAGTAAATACATGTTGATATTTGATGACTTCTCTAGACTTACATTTCAAATTACCTTCTGGGCATCTCCACATGAATATTCTGCAAGAGCTTTGAAACAAAAGACCCAAAATAGATTATATTTATATTTGCACTGAATTTTTTTTTTTTTGAGATGGAGTCTCGCTCTGTCACCCAGGCTGGAGTGCAGTGGTGCAATCTCAGCTCACTGCAACCTCCACCTCCTGGGTTCAAGCAATTGTCTGCCTCAACCTTCCAAGTAGCTGGGATTACAGGTGCCCGCCACCATGTCCGTCTTTCTTTTTTTATTTTTAGTAGAGACAGGGTTTCACCATCTTGGCCAGGATGGTCTTGAACTCCTGACCTCGTGATCCACCTGACTCGGCCTCCCAAAGTGCTGGTATTACAGGCATGAGCTACCATACCTGGCCTGCACTGAATTTTTATTCCCAGTTAATGGCATCACCAAAAACCAAAGTCAGAAACTTCAAAATCATCCCTACCATTGACTCCTCCACTCCCTCTCATCTCCAACTGGTACCTAAGAGCTCTATTTCTATCAATCTGATATTTCTTCACTCTCCCCTTCATTCCCATTAGTACTGTCCATACTTCTTTACTGCAGATCCTCATTTTGCCTGCATTACTACAGTATTACTATTACAGTAGGCTGCTCATTCGTCTTCCTGTGTACTTGAATCCCCTCCTTACTAATGCTCCTCAACTAACCAGGTATTATACCCATTTCGCAGATTGGAAAAACTAGCCTTTAAGAATTTAAGTAACTTTTTCCAGGTCACCCAATTAGTAAGTAGCAAAGCTGGAGTTTATACTGGCCTATATCCCTAATCAAGAGGCCTGGGAGAGACCTTCCAGACCTCAGCATGACAAAAACCCCCAATCCAGATGCCCTAAATTGTAAAGGTATGTTACACATGCATCACCCTCAGAAGTCTGCATATTTCCTGGGAAGAGATAAAAGGTCTTCTGCATTTCATCTCCCTCCACCTCCCACCTCTTGCCCAGCATGGCATTCTGCTCCATTATAAGCTATCAAAGGATTTTTCAGACAAGAAGGGGAGAAAGGAGAAAGAAAGATTAAAAAAAATGATTTATCCAAGGTAAAGAAATAAAGGAGGATCAAAGGTGATAAGACCTGAGGGAGAAAGAGATAGGAAGATAAAACATAACTCACTTTGTTTAGACTCTGGTTCAGAAGTTATGCCTTTGCAAAAACTGTTGGCTGGAATTTTGGCTGATGTTTTACTTAGTTCAGCACAAGGAAAATTTCAACTTGGCCTTCTCCTTGAGGAACATTTATGAAGAAATAAGAGTTATATGAAGATGTGAATGAGGAGTCAACTCACATATACCCTTACTTAAAGTGAAAGTTAGCAGCTAAGTGCCACCAAGTAAATCACCTGTCTTCTAAAAGCTCTGCCCTCTCCCCTTCAAAACAATTAGAGTCTAAAAACCCACATTGATTTCTCACTTTTTTTTTTTTTTTTTTTTTTTTACCATTTTATGCTCTAAGAGTAATTTGGGACTGTATCTGGGACTGTGGTATCTCCTCTATAGCAACTAAAAGGCTTTCAATCTGATAATTAACCTACCATGCCATTTCACCCAAATAATCTTCTGGAAATTTACCAATGTACTTCCAAATCTTTCATAGGCTGGCTTTGCCTCAGCACCACTAAATCACTCAGGATCATGTTTCTCACAGGCGGCGGCTGAAATAAAATATGCATACTATGTAATTGGAAAAAGATTCTGTCTCATTTTCCCCGGCTGTTCTTCCTTGTTGGCAATGCAGAGGGAAAGAAGGCAGCAAGAATGTCTTCCTGCTGACAACTTAGAAGACAAGCCATCATCACAGAGCCACATCAGCAGGGGCGGGCCTGAGTTCTCTGAAAGCATCTGATGGGGCCCTTCGCCCTGGGGACCCTCATCACACAGTCCGTTGATACTGAATGAGAGTTTCAATAAAGCAATATGGCGTGCAATTCCAAAACACATCCTAAGTGCCCTCTACTCATTGGCTCTTTTGCCTTGCTCTTTTTCAGCTTTTCCAAAAACAAAATGTTTACCTCCAGCCAAAGTGCCACATGTGCAGGGAAGGAACACATTCTGTGTTTACTTTTTATGGGTTTCCATAATCCTTGTAATAAAACATATTAAAATGAGAACCTTCTTCATTAGTCTGGGGTTTATACAGGAGATTATTTAAAATTTTATAAATTTACAATCACTTTTATTTTCAGTTCTCTATTATTCAGAATTTAATTGTTCATGAAATAATAATAGCTAGGACTTATTGTGCTCTCCATGTTCCAGGCACTGTTCTAAGTGTCTCATGTACATTAATTTTGTCCTCAAAACAATCCTATGAGGCGGGTGCTATTATTATCACTCCTATCTTTACAGACAAGGTAGTTGAAGCACAATGGGGTTAAATAATCTGCTGAGGTCATCAGCTAGTAAATACTACCAGTACCATATATGTGTTCACTGCTTCTTTCTTATTCCTTCTATGTTCCCTTTAGGGCCATTTTATCCATGTATTCTTTAGAGAATTCTTACCTTTAGAGAATGTTATCAATATATAGTAGAGATGCAATGCCAGGAGGCACACCCCAAAATTATGGAACCAAGGGAAATGAAGCAGGTTCAGAGAATCCTTCAGAGCATGTGCTAGAAGCAGTCAGTGCTCCCTGAATACCTGCTCTTCCCTTAATTTGCTAGCTTTCCTTGAAGTTGGATGAACCCATGTCACTAGTTCTGAGCAATGGTCTTCAAGCAGAAGTAAAGCCAAGTGAAAAAATGTACCTGGAAGACAGAGTGTTCAACGATATCAGATGCCACAGATAGATCAAATAAGGTGAGAATTGAGAATTGATTATGGGGTTTGGTAAAATGGAGGTCATCATCGACTTTGAAAAGAATAGTTTTTCTATAGAAATTCATTACGAGCATCACTGAATCAGACTATAAGGAACTACTTCACTAGTGAGTATAGAACTTAGGTCTATACAAGTTAGTCAATTATTGACATGGAGTTAGAGAGCCTAGATCCTTCCCCACTCAAACCTATGCTGTTCTCTCACCTAACCCACCAGAAGCCTGGTTTGCTTTCCTTGTTCCATTACACATCCATATACATATAGGTCACATTGTCAAAATTTTAATTATCGGCCCAAATTCTTTACTCTCCTCTAGTAGTGCTACACATCTGTACCCTTGCCATGGTCTTATGGATGTGTAATGTACTACTGAGCCCCTTAACTATGTGGTTGGTCATATTATTTACATTGGTCAATTGGACATTAGCAAAAACAACCTAGGTGGAAAAACTGAAATTTGCTTGAGCAATTGCACTTTCCCTCTGCAAGTCTACATAGCCCTGAGTCAGTCCACATACCCAGGATAGTTCACTGGTCCCATAGAGACACCCAAAGCTAACCACAGCCTGGAACGAAGTCTAGTCTACATGAGCCAAACTTCAGTCAACCTGCAGAAGCACAAGCGAGAAAGAAATGACTTTTTTGTTAGAAGCCACTGAATTTTGCAGCGGCTGGTATATAGCATTATTGTGAATATAGCTGATTAAGACACAAGTTGTGGTAGAAATATTTCAAATGTCCTTTAAAAATAAGTAACATAGTTCTTCCTGAACTCTTCTTTAATTACAAACTTCAGATTGATCCCAAAATGCCATGAAGCCACTCCACCCAATACCCACACCACAGTAAAGTTGGTCACTCTCCTCTTAAGAATTCAGTCTTTAAGGACTGGAAGGGACCTGAGTAATCATGCCCAGCCACCTCTTTTTACCTCTGAGAACACCCAGGAGGTGAAATGACATGTCAAATATCACATTACTAATCACTGAGAACAGTGATTGGAAACTAGATTTCTCACGGTGTTTTCAGGCCTATTTGTACTGTGTCACACTGCTTGTCTTAATTCCAAATTGAGGACTCTCAGGTTGAAGCTACAGTCAGAAACAAGAGATCTAGAATTAACATTATAAACACTCATTCTCTTGTCATCTACTGTAACATCTTTCTCTTTGTTTAAGCCCCTTTCTCTCCAGTGCCTGAACTACCACCACTAACACACATACACACACACACAGAGTTTTGGATTTGGTCTTTAGTCTTTGCTTTGATTATGATTATGCATCCTTCAAAAATCTCTGTTCCATCAATAATTAGCATATATGTTTAAAATATTTCGCTGGAATCATAGATGACACAAACTACTGGAAAAGCATTCCATGCTCATGGATTGGAAGAATCAATATCACTAAAATGGCCATACTGCCCAAAACAATCTATAGATTCAATGCTAAACCTATCAAACTACCCATGTCATTTTTCTCAGAATTAGAAAAAACTATTCTAAAATTCACAAGGAACCAAAAAAGAGCCCAAATGCCAAAACAATCCTAAACAAAAAGAACAAAGCTAAAGGCATCATATTACCTGACTACAAACTATAATACAGGGCTGCAGAAACAAAACAGCATAGTACTGGTACAAAACAGACACATGGACCAATTAAACAGAATAGAGAGCCTGGAAATAAAGCTGCACATCTACCACCATCTGATCTTTGACAATGTCAACAAAAATAAGCAATGGAGGCGCCAGGCATGGTTGCTCACACCTGTAATTCCAGCACTTTGGGAGGCCAATGCAAGAGGATCACTTGAGCCCAGAGTTTGAGACCAGCCTGAGCAACATGGCAAGACCCTGTCTCTACTAAAAATAATAACAAGCAATGGGGAAAGGACTCCCTATTCAATAAATGATACTGGGATAACTTGCTATCCATATGCAGAAGAATGAAATTGAACCCCTACTTTTCACCATATACAAAAATTAACTCAAGATAGATTAAAGATGTAAATGTAAGACTTCAAACTATAAGAATCCTAGAAGAAAACATCAGAAATGCCATTCTAAACTCAGCCTTAGGAAATAATTTATGACTAACTCGTCAAAAGCAATTGCAACAAAAACAAAAATTGATGTGTGAGACCTAGTATTAAACTAAAGAGTTTCTGCACAGTGAAAGAAACTATCAACAGAGTAAACTGACAACATAGAGAATGGAAGAAAATATTCTGAAATGATGCATCTGACAAAAGTCTAACTTCCAGCATCTATAAAAACTTAAACAATTCAACAAGCAAAAAACGAATAATCCCATTAAAAAGTGGGCAAAAAACATGAACAGGCACGTCTCAAAAGAAGACATACAAGCAGCCAACAAACATTTGAAAAAATACTCAACATCACTAATCATCAGAGGAATGCAAATCAAAACCGCAATAAGATACCACCTTACACCAGCCAACATGGCTATTATTAAAAAGTCAACAACAACAACAAGAAAAACAGATGCTGGTGAAGGTGCAGGGAAAAGGGAACTCTTATACTGTTCGTGGGAATGTAAATTAGTTCAGCTGCCTTGGAAAGTAGTTTGGAGATTTCTCAAAGAATTTAAAACAGAACTACCAATTTACCCAACAATCAATCGCATTACAGGGTATACATATCCAAAATAAAATACATCCTTCTACCAAAAAGACACATACACTCTTATGTTTGTCACAATGCTATCTACAATGGCAAAGATAAGATCAATCTAGGTGCCTATCAACAGTGGATTAGATAAAGAAAATGTAGCACATATACACCATAGAATATTATATAATCATAAAAATGAATTAAATTATGTCCTATGGAGCAACATGAGGTAGAGCTGGAGGCCATTACCCTAAGTGAATTAACACAGAAACAGAAAACCAAATACCTCATTTTCTCACTTATACACAGGATCTAAACATCGAGAAAACATGGACATAAAGATGGCAACAACAGACACTGAGGACCACTAGAAGGGGAAGTGGAGGTGAGAGGTGAAAAATTTACTGTTGGGTACTATGCTCACTACCTGGATGGCAGGATCATTTGTATCCCAAATCTCAGAATCACACAATATACCCATGCAACTAACCTGCATGTGTATCCCCAGAATCTAAAATAAAACAATTACCAAATAAAATAAAATAAATTTTTTGGAAGATATTATAAAAAGTGGTATGCCCAATAGAAGCATAGTTATTGAGCTAAAAACTTCATTTTATAGACAAGGCAATTGAGCCCTAAAAAAGTAACATGACTTGCCCAAGGTCATGCAACTACATAGCAAAAAAGAAGGAACTGGATCCCAGGATTCTTTACTCTTCTGTGCCTCCCAAACCCTCCCTTTTATAACTAGCCTTATATGTATATTTGTGCCTTGGTGATTATTAACCTCATTACCTCATTCCTTCAGAAGAAACTAATTTTAGATTATTTTTTCTATATATTTCTTCTAACTATTTCTCTTTCTAGAATGAAGACAATTTTTATATTAGAATCTAATCCAAATATTCTTGAAGGATTTCAAAAGTCAATATGACATTAACGCTTTCAAAAAGACAATCTCTCATGATGATAGTGAGGATAGCAGTCTTTAAACTGCTGTGCTTTCAAACAAAAAGCTATTTTGCATACTTAAAAAGCATCTTTCATTTTCTTATCTGTAGGGCTCAATACTTTCAAAAACAACTCATTAATTCTTTCTTACTTCTTGTATTCTTAGAAAAGAAGCAAAACTTAAACACTCAAAAGTTAAGTCATTTGCCAAAGGCTGTATAGGAAGTCACCAACTAAGTACATTGCCTCTGAAAGGTTTCGGTATGAAATTCCACATATAGTGCCACTAATGATAACTCCTGTTCCAGGCACAGTGGCTCATACCTGTAATCCCAGCATTTGGGGAGCCCAAGGAGGGAAGATCACTTGAGGCCAGGAGTTTGAGACCAGCCTGGGCAACATAGTGAGACCCTGTCTCTACCAAAAGCTTTTTTAAAAATTAGCCAGATGTGGTAGTACATTCCTGTTGTCCCAGCTACTCAGGAGGCAGACATGGAAGGATTGCTTGAGCCCAGGAGGTGAGCCATGATTGTGCCACTGCACTACAGCCTGGGTGACAGAGCAAGACTCTATTTCTCAAAATAATTCCCACAAAACTAGCATTCATTGAAGTTATACTGTGCTCTATGCACCATGATATGACTTTTGTATGCATTAATTTATTCCATGATGATGGAAATGTTAGTATGTAACATTATTGTCCTCATTTTAGAGATGAGTATGATGAATTTTAGAGATATTAAGTAACGTTTCCAAGGTGACACACCAGAATGAACACACCCAATTTCTGGCAAAGATGTCATGTCTGTCTTACAAAGTATTACCAAATCAGAGTAGGGAAAAGATCTTGCTTGACTCCAGCACCGAAATAGTGAACAAAATGGGTTCTGAGGTTTTCATGGTGGATTGCTGTAGGTACATTTATTTATTTTTCTGGGGCACAGTGAAATCTATTTTTTTAATGTTATTTGAGCTACTTCATGAAAGTAAATTAGAAATTAGCCTTTAATGTTAGAAGTCAGGATGGTGGTTTCCAGTAGAAAGGAAGGAGTGGTGATGACCTGAAGGGGAGCCCAAGGGTGATTTTTAGTGCTGATTGTTTATATCTTGTTGTAAGGTATCATAATACAGTTGTGCTTATTTTGTGAAAATTTGTTGTTCTGGACACTTATGATTCATACAGTTTTCTTTGTGTATGTCACATATCAT
The DNA here is from genome assembly GCF_000001405.40 of Homo sapiens. Lineage (NCBI taxonomy): Eukaryota > Metazoa > Chordata > Mammalia > Primates > Hominidae > Homo > Homo sapiens. The sequence goes on from NC_000007.14 coordinate 94,361,547, forward strand.
TAAAGATCATATTAAAATTAATCTTTGAAAATGTCTAAAAACATATTTGAAATAGATATACTAAATACCTCTAAAAAAACCTGATTACATTTACCAGCTGTGAAACAGGTGAGGTAATGTAACAGAGCCTATCTTATAGATTTTGAAGATGATAGGTCTTTTTCATTTCCATCCCAATTCAGGATTTCTAAGCCTCAACATCCTTGCCTATAAAAATAAAGGTACTGGCCGGGTGCGGTGGCTCACCTGTAATCCCAGCACTTTGAGAGGCTGAGGCAGGCGGATCACTTGAGATCAGGAGTTTGAGACCAGCCTGGCCAACATGGCGAAACTCCATCTCTACTAAAAATAAAAAAATAAGCCAGTGATGGTGGTGTGCACCTGTAATCCCAGCTACGCAGGTGGCTGAGGCAGGAGAATTGCTTGAGACCAGGAGGCAGAGGTTGCAGTGAGCTGAGATTGTTCCACTGCACTCCAGCCTGGACAATACAGTGAGACTGTCTCAAAAATAAATAAATAAATATTTTTTTAATGAAGATACTGAGATCAATGAGATCTATTATAGTATTAGCTGTATCTTTGTTACTTCATCCTCCAATGAAGGTTTCTGTTTGCCTTGTATGTTAGTGCAAAAAACAGATAATAAGATGGAATTAAATGTGCAATCAATTTATTGGGGGAAACATCAGAGGAGGCTTGGAGAGATGCCCCACTGCAATGCAAGTGTGAACTTTGTGAAGGTGAGAGGGCAGAGTTCATGGAAACAGATTATGCTTCTAAAGAACCAGGTTTGGGGAGAATTAGATTGTTAAAAAGAATTCAATTTTGATATAATGAGCCTGAGGTATTTTTCAGACATCAGTTTTGCACTGTCATAGAGAAATATAGGTCTGGGGTGAGCTAACGTTGGACATTTGTGAGTCATCTGCATATAGGCAGTAATGGAAGCCAGAGACATGAAGAGAAAGCATAAGATCATGATACTGAAGGAAAAAACAGCCTCAAGCACTGAGGAATTCTGGTATTTAATGTCAAAAGAAAGAAGGAGAAGCCCACAAAGATAAGTCAATGAAGAGGTAGGAACAGAAAAGGATTGTGTTCAGGAAGTCAAGAAGAGTAAGAAATGATCCACGATGACAAATGCCGCAGGAAGGTCAAGTAAGAGGAGGCCTGGAAATGCCCATTGGATTTAGAGAGGCAGAGGCTATGGTTGATCTAGCAAGAATAATTATACTTCAGTGATGCGTACAAGCCAATTCCCCTATAAAATGGTGGGGATGGGGGTGGTGCAGGATGGGGGTGGGGCAGGAAGGGAGACAGAGGTGGAGATGGCGTACAAATCTAAAGTGCAACTGAATATGTTAGTGTTGGGAGGATGCAAACAGCTCTTCTATTAAACAAGAGGAAAGGAGAATAAATTAGATACAGATGTAGGCAGTTACGTATATTTGGAAAAGGGAAGATGAGATATCCCAATCTTATATAACAGTTGCTATTTTCTCTTGAAAATAACATCTCTGAGAGCAATGAAAAAAGTAGAAAAGTTGGAGGACTATGAAGAACAGAGAGTTTGAAAAAGTCTTTTCAGAAAATGGGAGTGGGAGTTGAACAAAAGATGCAGCAATGTGAAAGATCCATTTACTGTTGTTGACTGTACACTTAGAGTAGATCCAATGTCACCTTGCACTGTTGGATGCAACCACAGGAAGTGCAGATCACTGGGTTAATCTGGTACTGACCTTATTTCTCCAATGAAACCTAAAGAGACATGTGACATGTTTCATTGAAGACAATGAAAAGCCATAGGAGAATGCATTAATGATACTGGACATGGTGTTCCTGAAATAATAGTGTGTGGACTCATGGTTGAGCAGGGAAGTTAAGAAAGGAAAGGAATAATGGGTTGAGAGAATGCAGGGAATCCTGGAGAGAACCATGATACCTGAGCTTTTTGACCTCCAACATTAAACAATTCTTACAAAACCAATCAATTTGGTTCTCAAGAAAAAGCATGTTATACTTCTTACAGTCAAAAAATTAGCTACATTTCTGCTGGCAAATACAACCAAAAAACCTCCCTTGCCTTCATGAAGTTTGTGTTCTAGGGAAGTCATATTAACAATACTTATTATAGAGAAATACTATCTAATAGAAATATGAGTCATATACATAATTTTTAATTTTCTAGTAGTCACACTAAAAGAAGTAAAAATAAACATATGGGCCTGTGAGATTTAAGAAAAAACAGGAATATACTTATACTAAAAAATAACCCTGTTTATCTGAAAATTTTTCCTATTATCATCATTTCTGATGAGCATGTCTGTTTTCTCTAAATTCTCTCAGGGTGTTTTTAGTTTTCCAAAGTGAAACCACCTGGAAATTATTTACTTCATGGTGGATACCCAGAAGAAGAGTAATGGCAGGCAGAAAGCTCACAAAAAAAAGAAGGTTGAAGCTGTCCTTTACCTCGGGGAGAAAATAATCTGTCTGACTGCAATGCAGTCATTTTTCCCTGCCATTCTTTTTATCTTTTTTCCCTGCCATTCTTTTTATCTGCTGAAGCTGTGCTTTCCTAGAGCATTCATCAAGCAGCTTTTTTTGGTTAGCAGAGAGAGCCCCATATGCATTCTAACCTTGCAATACAATCCATCTTGGAGAGAGGAAAATATAATGAAAAAGGAGAAGGAGATAATTCTCGTATTGCTATTTACATTTCCCAGAACATACAAAACCATTATTTAAAATTAACTGCTCACTAGACCAACAGCTCACTGAGAAAATGCTGTTTCATTCAGAGAGGAGATTGACCTGGAGCCCCTTTGAAATGGAGACACTATTTTAATTGCTATTCTTTCTTTACCCCCCATATGAACCCCCTTTAATGTTTCCACTTGTAAAAAGTTCTCTTCCTTTGTATTTTTAGTCTGCTGAAGTTTAGAACTCATTATATCATTTTTAATTAGTAAAGAGGTTACAAGTTCTGACCTGCCAAAACAGTAATTTCTTTCCAGTCTATAAATGGATGTTTTTCCAATGACAATTACAGAACCAATTTCTAAAGTTTGAATCCAGCTGTAGTAGTAAAGTTAGTGCCCCAGTTTGCAGGGGAGGATGGTATAAAAATTTTAATGATCTTACAGTAGTTGGGTAATGTTTGAACACTGGAAAGATGACAGCCGAAATATACTACTGTTAAATCAAGGTTAGCCTAAAGCTGCCTCCTTACACATTTTAGGTTTGCCCTAAAGGTTTCTCTGTACATCATGAACTATAACAAGTGGAGGTGTAAACAGACCATAGCCTGCTCTTGTGCCTGTCACCGAATTTGGGCCAATCAAATGTAGCCAACTGTTCAAACCGTGTTCAAATAAGACAAACGCCAAGCTGTAACCAATCCAGCTGTTTCTGTACCTCACTTCCATTTTCTGCACCTCACTTTCCTTTTTCTGTCCATAAATCTTCTTCCACCACATGGCTGTGCTGGAGTCTCTGAGCCTACTCTGGCTCGGGAGGCTGCCTGATTCGTGAATCATTCCTTGCTCAATTAAACTATTTTAAATTGAATTCAGCAGAAATTTTTCTTTTAACACTATCCACTGGTACTTTATTCAGGCATGGACTCAGGAGCAATAAAAAGAAAAGAGAGGTCACCATTTAGAATCATTTATTTCCACTACTTATCATTACCAAGAACCAACAAGTTCTTAGTCCTTGAATATATTCAGCACATAAGCACAATTCTTCTCATCCCTTTCTTTTCCTCCTTAATTTCCCAAACCAGTATAAACAATCCTACAGAAACATAACATGACCTAGGATAGAATTAGGATTATGGCTGGAAAATATTCAGCTGTCCTTTACCCTAAAAATGATCATTACTAGTTCTTTTAGAAGTACAAAATTGTTACGATACAATTCTTTGTGGGTCTCACATTTCTACACATTTTTCAAGAGAAACACCAATTGCTTTTTTATTCTAGGCTATATTTTCAAGAATGTTAATATAGTGAAAAGCCTTAGAAGAAACAGATGGTATATCCCTCTGGAACAAAGGGCAGGCATGTTTCTCATCCAGTAAAAGAGAGATGATGCCTCCCTACAAGCAAATAAAGGAAAACTTACCGCCCAGTGTAAAATATTTGGGTTCCCTAAATTCAGTTTTCCTCTCCTAGAATCCAACCCACTGCACGTGCAAATGTCATTTGGCCCGTTTTTACATCACTCTATGGGGCTCAGAGAAGTATCAAAAAATGTTTACTCTGACCGATACTATTACCGTAAATAATAAACAATCCTTTGTCTCTGACCCAGGAGTCTTGTGTTTTCTATTAGTATTCATGAAACTGTGGAAAGTTTAATGTGGATGGCTTACTTGTTAGTTTGCAAGCAGGATAAAATCTCCAACCCTTCATAGTTCTTCATAAGAATCAGCAACAGAAAAATGCATAAAATTATAGATTTTTACCACTCAAATGCCTACATTTGAAATAGACCTTCAAGCTGAGGCTGGAAATAGTCAGAAAGTGAGGGCTTTCTGGGGCAGTTTCTCAACTGGTTGCAGCACACTGGTGTATGGTCAACTCTTCATCATTGTAGAGTATCAGCTCAATGTGCAAAATGTATTTTTGCTGCACTGAGGAGATGTACCATCATCATCATGTACATCGATAGGATGCTGAGCTGACCTGATCATGCTGTATGATATAGAATATACCTTTTTGAGGGTAAGAGATGAGAGGTTAAACTGAATTCAGCATGAAAGGAAAGCTGAGCATTTACTGGTACGTGTGAGGATCTCGCTTCATTAATGTAAAAGTGCTGACAGAGCATTCAAAAACTTGATTTAAACAGGGTCTAAAGCTGAATAGTGACTAGTTGGAAAGTGTGGTAACTTTGGGAAGTTGTTTTAGTTTTCCAAATTTTTCCCTTTCTTTAAACCTGCTATCCACCTTTTCATCTTTTCAAGTGTGCTTCCCCCAATCTAGAATCCAAAAAATGTGCCACAATCACACAAATAATGCAAGCCACAGATATGCAATGTCCACAGCTATGGATTGAGTTGAGGCTGACAATCGCAGTACCTGCAAGAAAATCCTCTATGAGATTGATTCTCACAGGAATTTATAGGTCACTACAGGGTCTAAACTCAGAGCTGAGTAGATTAGATAGTATCTACTTGGTGTCAAAATTTTACAGTGAGAAAAACCTTCTCTGCCCTTTAAGTTCCTCTTTAATTCTCAAAACTAACTCAACCTAGGTACTATATGAAAAGATTCAAAGGTGTATTCTTCTTGAGTTTGCCCTAGACCTCATACTTAAAGCATTACTAGTCTTACCTAAGAGGTAAGAGATACATGGAGAGAGAGATGCAGTTCATGAGTCCCTGCCAGAGAGAAGCCTCCAGGAGGAGGTCTTGACCTCTGGAGAGAAATGCCAAGATAGGAGAGGAATTCCACAGACCACAAACAAGAAGTGGCATTATGCAGGAAGAACCAAGGACAAGTCAGCTTGACAGAGCCTATCTCCGGCCTGCGCTATGACGGATGTGGTGAACACTAAAGTGAGTGAGCTCCCTTAATGCAAGTAAGAACACATTGCCACCATCAGACATTTAGGCTTCCTCCCTAATAGCAAGGTTTAATGTAAAAAATAAACACACCAGCCTCCATGTCCACGAAGTGCTGAAATCCTGGAGGTTGGGCTATAGAGAGTGGCCTCCTCTGACATTATCTGGAAAATAAAGAAAAATGATTTATGTCAGGAATAACCTCATTCTTCACCTTTGCTGAAAAGTAGAAAAAAAACACAAATAAATATTTTAGGTGGATATGCTACTTATACTACATGTTTATAATTTTACTTTGTAAAGGAAAATCCTGCTGTCTTTCTACTCACAAAATGCCTTAAATAGGCCAGGCATGGTGGCTCACACCTGTAATCCCAGCACTTTGGGAGGCCAAGGCCAGCAGATCACGAGGTCAGGAGATCGAGACCATCCTGGCTAACACGGTGAAACCCCATCTCTACTAAAAATAGAAAAAAAAAATTCACCGGGCATGGTGGCAGGCGCCTGTAGTCTCAGCTACTTGGGAGGCTGAGGCAGGAAAATGGCGTGAACCCGGGAAGCGGAGCTTGCAGTGAGCCGAGATCACGCCACTGCACTCCAGCCTGGGCGACAGAGTGAGACTCCATCTCAAAAAAAAAAAAAAAAAAATGCCTTAAATAATAAAGCTCTTCTCAGGAAAGTCCAATATGAGGATGGCTGTGTGTTTTAATGAAGGCTTTTGACTCCTGGGAAATATAAGAAGGAACATCCAGAAATAGTGATAATAGATTTTCTGTCTTTTAATCCTGATGGGAAAGGCTATTTTAAAGAATCTCAATTCTTAATGAAGATACACAACAGAAGACGGCACTGATTAACTGTTAAGCATTCAATTCTTTCCCAGCTATCTAGTCAGGTTTGGATTCTCTATTAAAATTCAATACTTAGGTCCACCAGTCAGGGAAGGAAGGAAAAGAATGTCTCTTGCTTCAAACTCCTAATGGCCTCCAGCTCTGCTGTGCCCAACTTTAAGTAGATTGCTTGGTTTGGCTACTTATACTGTTTTTTCTGGAAACCACTCACACTTCTTCTGAGCTGCACTCCTAAACCACTGGAAGTAGTCTCGCTGAGAAGGAATTAGAGTCCAAGTACTTTTTTTTTCTTTTACCTGTGCCTTTTGAGCACCCTGCACTTTAAAAAACAGAGAAAACAAATTTATTGACAACTCCTTACAATTATGTCCACAGAAAGATTTTGTTGTTACCCACTCCTTCTTTCCAAGTTTTACTGCGAAAGAATAAGCATTGTTAAATCCAGCTGGTGACTCCTATGGAAAAGTTTACCACAGAAACATTTGCAATCGGTTAAGACTTTGGTCCCATAATGCTTAGCAAAAGAAGCTGAAGATCATTCAGAACGGAAATGGAATTCTGTGTGCCAAGCCTTAGAGCTAAGCTTTAAAAAGTCACCCATGAACGATGTGCACTTTTCTCTTTGTTTGGTGCCTGGTGAATGGAGACAACAATGGCTTTAAGGAGATTTTTATCCATTGTATTTGTGTCTGCATCTGTATAGAACATACTGTTTCCTTGGCAGGTCACCAAGACTTGCTCACATCTGTTTCTGCTTTCATTTCTATTACCCTATTCATTTCTGGCCAGGAGTCAAAAGAGCTCTAAGTTTACAAGTGCCACGAAGGCATTTGGTTGAGGAGAATATTTTTTCTTTTATTAAACCTGTATTTCTGTTTTGATTTTTTCCTGTTTTTTACTTAATCAGGATGAATCACAATGGAATAGAGGTTTTTATGAACATTCTGGAAAATGACATTTTAAAGGTGCAATTTACAGTGATCTAAATGCTTAGAAATTTTATGTTTACCACTGAATTACAGACCATATAGAGGGGCAGCTCTTTATTGCAAAACCGTGGGCTTCAGAGTTAGGCAGAGTTAATTCTGAGTCTAGCTCTGCCACTTATTGACGATCTGGCCTGAATCCTAGGCTTTCTCATCTGTATATAGGTGATGAAAAAGAAAATTCAACATCTTTAAGTTGTTGTGGAGATTAACCATAAACGCATGCTAAATGGGGAAAGGGGGAGAACTATCAATGAAGAGTAGCTCTTATTAATACTTTGTGGCAGTAAAATGCAACTTTCTGATCATGCTCAGCAATTTTTTTTGAAAGCTTGCTGGTTATCCTCTCTATGAAATTTAATTATTATGTAGTGGTTTTTCATTAGGCCCAATAGCATGTCATCACTAATAATAATGGATGCAAAGGTTTACTGAGGCAGAGAAGTTTTATTTGCTTAGCGTAGGCAAATGGGTCCGAGGACAACACATTTATGTTTGGGGAAAAAGAAACAAATTCCTATAAAAGCCAATACCATAGTGAACATTTCAGAGAAAAATGCAACACTGGTAGATGTGAAAATAAGTCCTGATACCAGGAATAAGGGAAAACAGTGGTTATCTACTGAAAACCAGATAGTAGACCTAAATAAAATAGACAGTAAGACTAGCCAAAGGCAACTATTCTCCATCTCTCACCTCTATTCTTTAGATTATAATCAGCATTGGCTCTTAACTGAAGGAAAAAGCCAGGCCCCAGCTAGGTAAGACCAATGCCAATCTCAGTTAACCACTTGAGATGACAAATGGATTTGCCTCAGAATGTCGATTTTGTTTTGACCCTGCAATCAGTAAAATTAAGCAAGGAGACTTATGTACACACATCTAGACCAATCATAAACATAAAAGACACTGAAGTTTAAAATAAAGAATTTGAACAATATTTAAAAGACAACATTTTAAGCATTCATTTCACTTCTGGAGTCAAGTAAAGTTGAGGAAGAAATATTGTACTATTTCGATAGGATTTACTCAACCAGCTGGACTGATACACACCACATGGGTGACACTGTTTGCTGTATCGGGGGAGATGTTTATGATTCTTATCTTTAAAGCTGTGATTATTTTCCATACTTCCTAACAATTTTTCAGGTACCCCAAAGACAACCACACTCATCCATCTTTATTCTCTAAAAATGTATTTTGTTTTTTTCTCGCTTAGGTGAGGTTGACTTTCATAAAGGAAGACAGGGATTCTTGTAAACATTGGAGTCTTTTCTTTAATCAGTTTTCTTGCCTCCTATTTGGTGTCGCTTACTTCCCTCTGGGTCATTTCAATGAAATTAGACCTCACCATGCCATACCAAATAAAGGAAAAGAAAACTATGAATTAATGAAGTTTGGATAATGTAATTCTTTTAATGAAATTCAGGCTTATTGCTTTAAAGAAGCTACGGTAATTAAAACAAGACTGAGAACTGCTTCGTTGAGATTCAAATTTAATAAATAACGAAGCGAGATTTGCAATTAGAATAACAGATCAGGCACCAGCCCAAGTATTGCCAATATCTGCTTATATTGTAAATCTGCTTTTTATTCATCTATTCATTCTTTCTTTCAACACAAACTTATTGAGCATGTATTATTTTCCAGGCAGTATGCTAGATGCTAGAGATAGAGTTGTTAACAAGAGAGAATTACTTCTTTACCTGCTTTATTCTGGTATACTTGGAAAAAATTTTCCTCTAATTAACCTTTCCCTTTGTTATCTTATTTATGTTATTCAATGTTTTCATATAATCAAAAACTCACAATTAAGATTAAATTAATGAGGTTTTATTCTACTTTTTATAAGGGCAGAAACTGATCAGCAACTCTTTCTTTTTCTGCAGCTGTGTGTCTTAAAAGATTAAAAGCTATTTCAATCTGTTTCTTTTTTCCTGACAACTTGCAGAAAATGGATACTTTTTTACTAGAAATGACTAGAAATGGCAAATCTTCTCTTTATTTCTGCTATAACATTATTATAAGAGTTCAAACCAACAACAAGTTAAGAGATACAAAGTCAAGCAAATACTGCACAGTAAAAATATGGTGAAAGTAGATTTTGATGAGAAAAAAACGCTGCAACCTCCAATAGTGCATAGTAAAATAGTTGTCTCAGGAGGCAGAATGACCTAGGAAAGTTAAGCACAAGAACATAAAGCCTTATGGTGCTCAGAAGTATATCTGGCACCTCTGCAGGATACATTAACCAGAAAGAGCACAGACTTCTGGAAAAAGAACTGAGTCTAGTGGTCCCAAGCTCTGCTGGAACCTTGGGTCTGTCCCTTTACCTCTTAGGGAAACAGTTTACTGGATCAGCAATGGAGTTGAAATCAAAGCCTGATTAAATCCGATCAGGAGTTGTAACTGTGGCCAAGCCCCTTCCCTGAGGGGGTTCTTTCATCAAAATGACGAGGTCAGACTAGAAGTTTTCTAAAGGAAGCTTTGGTGTTGACATTCTTCATTTTTAAAATTAGAGTTAACCAAGAGCTGTTCCCTAGGTGAAAAATTTATTTATTTTTTTTTTCTGCATGGCACCTGTTCCACTCACTACCCTCCTATAAACTACTCCTTGTAGGACCACCCAAGCATACAGGAAAAGGTGGAAATGCCATGTTATGGGCTGGATTGTGTGCCCCCCAAAATTCCTGTGTTGAATCTTAGCCCCTAGTACCTCAGAATGTGACTTTATTTGGAGATATAGTTTTTAAAGGGTAATCAATTTAAAATGAGGTCATTAGGGTGGGCTGTAATCCAATATGATTGCTGTCTTTATAAAAAGAGGACATTTGGACACAGAGGCAGGCACAAAGGAAAGACGAAGTGAAGATGGAGGGAGAAAATGGTCAAATATAAGCCAAGGAGTGATGCCTGGAAGAGCGCTCTCCTTCACAGTCCTCAGAAGGAACCAATCCTCCCAACAACTTGATCTCAGGCTTCTAACCTCTACAACTGTGAGACAATACATTTCTGTTGTTTATGCCAGTGGTTCCCAACTCCGGGGCCAAGGTCCTTGGCCTTTAACAAGGCCACACAGCAGGAGGTAAGCCGAGGGTGAGAACATTACCGTGGCATTAGATTCTCATAAGAGCGCGAACCCTACTGTGAACTGTGCATGCGAGGGATCTGGGTTGTGCGTTCCTTATGAGAATCTAACTAGTGGCTGATGATCTGAAGTGGAACAGTTTTATCCCGAAACCATCCCCCTCCCACCCCCGTCCCTGGTGCCAAAAGGGTTGAGGACTGCTGGTTTACACGACCCACTTTGTGATACTTTGTTACAGCAGCCCTAGCAAACTAATACACTCCACTGAGCTAGTTCCAAGAAAGAAAGAACAAAAAAGAGGTCTGACAATGACAAATATCAAAATACAGTGGCTTGGATCCTAGTCTCCCTGCCCCTTCTAAAGACATACCCCAGTTTGTATGTTTTCCTTTCGTGGCATCTCCCTTTTTTCCTGTATCTCCCACTTCCCAAAGCTGCCTACAGACATATTTTAACTAGATATAAGTAGGCCAATTTGATGTAGAGGATTTATAACCTGATTTGTCACACTCACCCACCCTACTTGCCTGCCTCAGAATATTTTTTTTTTATGGCCTGACTTCCTCATAAGGGCCCCTTTTAGCTACAATATCTGTAGAAATGGATGTGGTAGGTCATCAGTGGCTTCCTAGAAATTCTGAGAAGAGGAATGGCATGATGAAAAAGGTACTCTAGGAAATGATTAGTGACCATGAAAAGGAGGATGAGAAGAAGGAAGCAGATGCTGAGAGACAAAAATTATTGTCATTTTTCAAGTAGGTGATATGACCAGGTAGTCAACAGGATTAGATTAGATCTGTGGTTCTCAAACTTGAGTGGATGTTGGAATGAGCTGGAGGGTTTGCTGAAACACAGATTGCTGGGCCAACCCTTGAAAATTCTGTTTCAGCAGATCTGGGGTAGGGACCCAGAATTCCTATATGCGTAACAGTGCCAACTCAATGATAATTGATCATGCATATCATGCAAATTCTATCTTATTTTGTCACCATATTAGCCAGGAATTAGAAGCCTCCACACCTAAAATTAAGGGAAAATATGAACTGATGCCTTCAAATCTGGCTATAGTCTTAAGAGGTGACTAACATTTCTATTCCTCCACTCTCCCCACTCCAGGTGGGAATCACTGATTTATAATTTGCAAAACCCTTACATGTGATTTTCTCTTTAAACATTTTTATTATTTTATTTTTTATATTTTTATTTTTTATTTTTCCAAAAGTTATTGGGGTACAAGTGGCATTTGGTTACATGAATAAGTTCTTTAGTGGTGATTTGTGAGACTTTAGTGCACCCATCACCCGAGCAGTATATATTACACCCTATTTGTACTCTTTTATCCCTTGTCCCCCTCCCACCCTTCCCCTCAAGTCCCCAAAGTCCATTGTATCATTCTTATGCCTTTGCGTCCTCATAGCTTAGCTCCCACATATCAGTGAGAAGAGGCATCACGCTACCTGATTTCAAACTATACTATAAGGCCATAGTCACCAAAACAGCATGGTACTGATATAAAAATAGACACATAGAACAATGGAACAGAATAGAGAACCCAGAAATAAACCCAAATACTTATAGCCAACTGATCTTTGACAAAACAAACAAAAATATAAAGTGAAGGAGGGACACCTTTCTCAATAAATGGTGCTGGGATAATTGGCTGGCCACATGTAGGAGAATGAAACTGTATCCTCATCTCTCACCTTCCATTTGACTTTCAAGAGCAATTGATGAATTCACAAATAATGGTTCTGTTCATCATTCTATTAAATAGGCTTTGAAAATATTACCCCCAATTTACAGATGAAAGAAATGATGATCAAAGGGCATTTTACCCCTCTCTCATTTCTGTTCCTGCCAAGTTTTTAACAATTTGCCCAAAAAATTAATGTCCCAACTCTGGAAGTTGCCCTTAACATATATGATGAGAACAATATCAGGCTGATCATTAAATTCACACAACTAATTTAAAGCAAAGCACCACTCAATCGGAATCCATTAAAAACAGCAAGTCAACCTTAACAGACTTCTCATTGGTAAATTATGGATTGTGCTTGAATGTTCATCCTATAGAACTGATCAAGTTTCTGGGTTTTTTTCTCTGTCCTTAGACTTCATGTTATATAAACAAGTGTCAGGGTATACATTCAGCAAGTTAGTTCCTTGTGAAATGAGGAGAAAATAAGCTTTTCATTTCTGATTTCCTTCAAGTTCATGAAGAGAAAAATCCCAAGAACTGTACTTTCTATTAAATTGAGAAGAGAGATATGTAATGAGGAAAGAATTTTGTTCAACAATAGCAGCAGTGCCACATAGCTGACCAGCTGGAGCTTTGCCTGGTGGTGGCTCCACCTCCCTCCCTTCCAGAGAGAAGCCAGCGTGGCTCAACCCCTCTCTGTGAGGGTGAGAGACGCCTTCACAGAGGGAGTTTGCCCTCAGCCCTCATCAGAGAAACCAGCCATCCTTTCTGTAGTAGAATGTATGCACTTATAAAACTTTTCTGATCTCTCTCTCTCTGTTTTCCCAACTGCTGCCTTTTAAGTCAGTTTGGTGGCTTTCACATGAGCATTTGAGTGTATTGGGTCCACCCAGGCAATCCTTGGATTTAAATGAGTTGCTTTTTATTTCCTCGGGGACTTAATTTTATTCAAAAGATGAGGGTTACACACTGACGATTTATGTGAGAGAGAGAAAGAGAGAGAGAGAGAAAGGCCATTCTGAGATCAACATTTCAACCTCTCCTTCCTGATTGCTACTTAAATCACTTATTCCAACTTGGGGAGATTGTAATATATAGTTTCTTAATGTGTTTAGTTAAGGACTTCATGAATCATGTGGATTTCTCCTCAACCTAAGTGGTTATTATGCTGACCCAAGGGTGTGCCGTTTTGCGGACACTTCATTTTTGTGTCCCTGTTTATTTGTAGCAAGCAAGCTCAGTTCTGTAAGACATTGATTAGAGGGACAATGGAAGTTGTTATCTACTGTAAGTCGCATTCAGCAAAAAGCTGCCAAGTGGTGTTCACATAATTGAAGAGGTAGAGCTTTCAGACTTGATTGTGATTTTGGGTTTGGGGCTTCCAGTTCTAACTCAGGCTCTCAATAAGGCTAAGACCACTCCTTATCTTGAATTGTTCCTTTTCAGGAACAACACTCTAACAACAAATCTTGGAGATCTCATACAAGTTGTTGCATTTAAAACCTCCTTAACTAGGACAATCTTTTCCTCAGTCTTCCTAAAGCTAACGAGCCCAAGCTGCTTCCTTTGCTTGCTGCTGGATATCAACTTTGCAAGGGATTTTACTAAGCGGAGAGAGGCTATGGGGGATGGTATTGGCAGTGAGTTACTTAGTACAACCCCAGGGCTGGGAGGGAGGGAGATGCTGTGCTTTCTTACCAGCTGTTATACTTCAAGAAGAAACAGGATTTTGTAACCCTTTCCTGGCATACCAGTCTCAAAACAAAGGCCAGACTCAGTTTTGACAAAGATTTTCTTGTGAAAATACACACAACACAACAGTATGAATGCATTCCTATCTAAATATGATTAATAAAATGTGACATTGTTTCTGTGTTTTGGATTTTCACAAGAAAGTGTGAAAACAGAGGCATTAAACAGTGTTGGTCTCATTGACATCCAAATGGCACTACTATTTGCGTCTCCCTCAAGGAAAGCCAGTCTTTTCCACTGAGGAGTAGGGAAAGAAAACACCAATCTGAAAAAGAAAAAGTGGAGGGTTGGACCTCCTCTTGGTTAAAGCCCAGAAGCGTATTCAAATGTGCTTCCCTTAAGAGTTAAGCACAGGCACCTCCCAGGAAATGACAAATGGTCCTACAGCCACAGCTCTGCTAATTTCCCTGCCCCCAATATCCAGACTTCCAGACATCAAATGGTTAGAAAAAGTGTTTAGTTTGAAAAAATTCTTGAGGTTTAGCTTGCCTCACAAATCACATTCTTTTTACCCTTTTCCCCCAGCCCAGTTTAAAAAAAAACAAAACAACAACAAAAAAAAAAAAAAAAAGAAAGGAACATGCCTTGGAATTCTGATGATAGATTTTCATAAAATTGTCCACGTTGCTTGCTGAGGCAAAAAAAAAAAAAAGGAAAGAAAAAAAAGAAAATCTATATAAAGTTACAACTTTTGTAGCTGTTGGTCTTCAATTAGAGATACTTGTCTTCTATTTTTACTTCTTTACATCTTGAATTTTTATTTTATTTTATTTTATTTTTTGATAGAGGGCCTGGGTCTATGTCCCAGGCTGGAATGCAGTGGCATGATCATGGCTCACTGCAGCCTTGACCTCCTTGGGCTCAGGTGATCCTCCCACTTCAGCCCCCTGAGAAGCTGGGTCTATAGACATGTGCCACCACACCCATCTAATCTTTTCACTTTTTATAGAGACAGGGGTCTCACTATGTTGCCCAGACTGGTCTTGAACTCCGGGGCTCAAGTAATCCTCCAGCCTCAGCCTCCCAAAGTGTTGGGATTACACATTTGTGCCACCACACCTAGCCACATCTTGAATTCTTATTGTAGTTTTCATTTTGCAATTTTTTTTCTGACAACCTAACTGCATATTAGCCCTACCCCCATAAAGATATCAACTATTTTCTGAAGCTCAAGGTCTCTGGGTATACCAAAACTCTTAAGTCAGTCTGTGAGCATTTTTTAACCTACAAATGCATGGGGCCCAGCCTCAAAATTTCTCATTCAGGCCCAGCACAGTGGCTTAAGTCTAATCTCAGCACTTTGGGAGGCCAAGGCAGGTGGATCTCTTGAGGCCGGCAGTTCGGGACCAGCCTGGCCAACATAGCAAAACCCTGTCTCTACTAAAGATTAAAAAAATTAACTGGGCATGGTGACACATGTCTGTAATTCAGGTGGCTGAGGCAAGAGAATCACTTGAACCCAGGAGGTGGAAGTTGCAGTGAGCCAAGATTGCACCACTGCACTCCAGCCTAGGCAACAGAGTGAGACTCTGTCTCCAAATAAATAAATAAATAAGTCTCACTCAGTAGTTTGATTTGGGCCTTAGAAAGCATGATTGGTTCCTCCAGTGGTTTAAATGCAGATCTGGGCTTGGAAGACACTGCTGAATAGTATACACCTACACACACACACACACACACACACACACACACAAACACACATTACTTTCCTTAATGACTACCATCCAATAAGAACAGTCATCATTAAAAGTTTTGTTTGTAATTCTATTGTAGAAGATATCCTATTTTTCCTTTACTGCTAAACTTCTTGAAAAAGTGGCCAGTCTGGCCTCACTTTTCCTACTTCTAACCCCATGGCCCACTTACGTTGGATACAATCAGGCTTCCTCCTAACAATTTCTAGATCCATAGTCAGTGACCTCATGATCATGATCTTCTTTAGTCCTCTGCTTCTTAAACACATTTTCAGCATTTAACACTTGATCATCCTCACCTTCTAGAAGCTCCCTTCTTTTTAGGATTATGAAGATCTGCTCTCCCTGGCACTCCCCCAGGTCTCTTCCTCTGGATCATCATATTCTTTCTGCTCCAAGTCTGTTTTTGGCTATTTTATGTTCCATCTCCACAAATTCTCCTCTGGCAGGCTTATTCAACCCCGCAGACTCAACTAGCATCTCCTTGCCTGTAGGCCCTCAGATCTACTTCTCTAATCCTCACTTCTTTCCCAAACTCCATTTCTCTTTATTTATTGCTTACACAATTCCTTTACCTGGCTCTTCCACTATGCCTCCAAAGTAACATATTTCAAAAAGGAATTTACATTTTCTCCTATACCCACTGTCCATCTGGTGTTTCAAGATTCTGTGAATGGTAGCTCAATACTCTCAGCTATCAAGGCTCAAAGCTACAATATCATCTCTCACTGGCTCCTATTGCTAGCCTACAACACCCAAATAGGCATTTTGCCCTGTTAATTCTTCCACAAAAATATCTCCAACTCAGTCTTCTCCTTTTTATTCCTATGTTAGACTATAAATGCTATTGTATTTCTAAAATGGGGAAGATTTTTTAAGAACTAGAGTATTCAAAGAAAGATTATAAATGCTGAAGTTGAAACTGAACAAGCCTGGAAGGACAGGTAGGGTCTAGGAAAGTCAAAGGAGGAGAGGGAAGGAACGTCTTGGGAAGATCAACACAGTTAAAGGTCCAGATGCAGGAATAAGCATGGCATGAGCTAGTACAGTGATAATTTGTTTGACTAAAGCCAAGTGTGTATAAAGCAATCTCCAAAAGTTGCTCCCTAATGAACTATGCTTCCAGGTAATAATGTCCTTGTGCAATACCATCCTCAATTTCAGTTGGCATTGTGGCTCTCTTTTTTCTACGGAATGTAGTGGAAGTGACACTGCATAACTTCCAAGGCTAAGACAGAAAAAGTCTTGCAGCTTCCTCTTTGCTGTCTTAGAACACTCTGGGAGCCAAAAAGGAAATCTTCCCGCTATGCTAGAGGTGCCTGACATAGGCATTTCAGCAAAAAGTTCCAGCTGAGCTCGGCCTTCTAGTCATCTCTGTTAAGGCAACAGACATGTGAACAAAGCCATCTTGGATCCTTTAGACCAGACCAGCTGCCATCAGGATTCTAAGAGACCTCAGTCAGTACAAATTAGAATAGAATAATTGCCCAGCTAAGCCCTACTTGAATTCTTGATCTATAAATCAGGAGATATAATAAAATTCTTGTTGTTTAAAGCCACTTATTTTTAAGGTAGTTTGTCAGGCACCAACAGATAACCAAAACACAGAGTCACAGTTTACTGAACAGTAAAAAATAATATTAAATATGTATGGTGGTTCCACATTGTGGATAGTCTTGAAAACACCAAGCAAAGAGGCTCTTCTTGCTGATATAGGATAATTGGAAGCCAGTGAAAGTTTTTGAGCAGTAAGTAACCATTGCATTTCTAGTTTGGCAGAAATATACAAAATGCATAGACATTTTGGCAGAAATACTCAAAATGCATAGATAAATGACAAATATTTGGCAATTTAATTTAGAAGACCTAGAGTTCAAACTTAGTTATATAATATTGAGAAAGTTACTAGCTTGAGCATACTACCTCAAGGAAGTGTTGTAATGGTTAAATGGGTGACATACATGACAGTGCTTTGAAAATTCATTCTAAATACACTTTAAAATAAATTCTTGTTAAACCGATGGAGGAGAAACTAGAAGCATCAGAAGCAGCTAAAAAGTTGGGACAACAATCTGGGTGTGGTATGATGCATTTCTTGATTAGGATGATTTATTTGGTCCCTTTACAGCCTTATTCTTTGTAACTTTCTGATTCACAATTTGTACTCTGGCCTTACTAACTATGAATAGTGGATTCCAAATGCCATACCTTGTACATTTTTCCTTGATTTTCGTAGTTTGAATTAATCACTCTCTCATTGGTGCCACCACTGTACATTGTACTCTATGAGGATTCCATATCATATTAAACAGTAGTTGTTGGTTTATGCATTTGTCCCTTCACTAGCACTACACTCTGAGCACCTTTGATTACCTGGCACATAGTAGGGCCTTAATGAATGTTTTTCTATTTATCTATTAGCTAGAACATTAGGGGTAGCAACATAAGAAGGACTGAAATAAGAGGCATCTTAAAGGAAAAAAAATAGAACTTCATGATTTCCTGAATTTGAAGAATGAAGACTATGGAATGATCAGAGATGATCTTGAGGTTTCAGATGTGTGCAAGTACAAGAACATTAGTGCACTAAGAGACTTGGTGGAAATAAGGATTCTGGACATAATGGAAGAATTCTGGAAAGCTGAGATATGAATATGTTGAACTGAGAAAATGGCAAAGCATCCAAATAAAAATATGGCCAAGGCAGGCAGATCACCTGAAGTCAGAAGTTCGAGACCAGCCTAGCCAACATGGTGAAACCCTGTCTCTAGTAAAAATGCAAAAAAAAATTAGTTGGGCGTGGTGGCAGGCGCCTGTAGTCCCAGCTACTCAGGAGGCTGAGGCAGGAGAATGGCATGAACCTGGGAGGCGAAGCTTGCAGTGAGCCGAGATCGCACCACTGCACTCCAGCCTGGGTGAAAGAGCGAGACTCTGCACCTGTAATCCCAGCTACTCGGGAGGCTTATGTTGCAGTGAACCAAGATCACGCCACTGCACTCCAGCCTAGGTGACAGAGCGAGAGTCTGTCTCAAAAAGAAAAAAAAATCCAGGTAGTTGTGTATATAATGCTATCATTGAGTTCATAAAACAGAAGTCAACCTTTTTTAGTTGCAGCACTTACATCAGTGATGATATTTGGTATCTTCTTGATAAAAGGTTTTCTCCAAGGGATAGTGTAGGGAGAGAGGAAGAAGTCCATCCTTAGAAACCAAGAGAAAGAAGAAGTTATAGAGAGAAACTGAAATGAGTCAGCATTAATAAAACTATCCATGACAATGTCACAGAAGCCAGCAGCTGTTGCCTGGAGTGTATTCTGCAAAGCATCCCATGTCCTCATATAAGTTCAAGTTCAGAAGTCTGCCTTTCCCCTCCTTGCTTTGTGAATGACACCATCATCCATTCAATGCTTTAAAGGAAATTTAGATACCATTCTCAATTCTTCCTTTAACCCTGATATTCTATCAATAAATACTATGAAGCTATCTCTTAAATATAATTCTTACCCTCTTTCTACTGCTCAACCTACTACCACCATGTTTCATGATGCAACTGCTCCTTAGCTGACTGTCTCCAATATTAGCTCTCCATAATCCAGCCTTCCCACTGCCAGAATAAGTGTTCTAAACCACGAATCACACCAAGAAGTGTCCTACAGAGAATCCCTCAATGATTCCTCATTTCTAACAATATATACCGCTGCCTCTATGATTTGAGTGCTGGTGCCTACTCCCTCTTTTCTGATTCTTTCCCTCAGGCAGTCCATGTTGCAGCCATAGGAAATTATGTGCAGGTATTTCAAACACAGCATGCCTAAAAGGGAATTCACCATATTTTAAAGCCCTCAAGTTCTGCCAGGATTCTCTGTCTCAGAAACGTTACCACAAGGCAGAAACCTGGTAGTCATATTTAATTCCTTTCTTTTCCTGATTCTCACATCCCAAATTCACCTAATTCTCTTCATCCTCAATGTTATCATCCCCACATCCTACCACAATTCATCTATCATCATGAAGATTCTCTTACGTTCCTCTTACCTGCTCCAATCCATTCTCTAGACCGCAGAGTTATGTTTCTAAACACACATCTGATCAGAATTAGAATTACAGCAAGGTTAGAGTTAATATTCGGGTTAGGATTTAACACTTTCAGAGAGTTCTCATTGTTGTTAGAATAAATTTCTAACATGCCTTTCAAGGCCCTCCCTAATTATCCTCTGAATAACTTGGAACGTACTTGCATTAATTCAACCCCTATCTCACTCATCTTGCTTCCTTCCACTAACTTGTACCCATTTATCATGAACTCAATGTTTGTGTCCCTCCAAAATTTATCTGTTGAAGCTCCCAATGTGATGCTATTTGAAAGTGGGGCCTTTGAAAGGTAATTATGTTTACATGGTGTCATGAAGATAGGGACCCCACGATGGGATTAGTGTCCCTGTAAGAAGAGGCACCAGAGTGCTTTCTCTCTCTCTCTCTCTCTCTCTCTCTCTCTCTTTCTCTTTCTCTTTCTCTGCCATGTAAAGACAGTCCTCACGGGCAACTAAACTTGCTGGCACCCTGATCTTAGACTTCCTAGCCTTCATTGCTGTGACAAATAAATGTTGTTTACGCCAACCAGTCTATTTAGTTACAGCAGTCCGAGCTATGACACCATTGTAGTTCTGAGTTTGTCATTTCCTTAGAGTCCTTCTCTATGTCCCATAGCTAGATCAGGACCTCTGCTTTGTATTCCCATAGCACCCTACATATTTCCCATAAGATGTTTCATCACAGTTTATTCTGTAGACTTCTCTAATGCCTATCTGTTCTGCAGGAATCCTCTTGCCTTAGGTTCCCAAATCCCATCACAGTGACTGAGACATAGTAGATATAAAATACATAGTTAATAAATGAGTGAACCATCTGATTGAACCATGAAGCCATGATTTTGCATATTCCTCTTTACTTCCTGGAGTGCCAGCCCAACAAATCCTCACCCATCAAGATTGATCTTCTGTTCTTGGTGATCCATCTTAATATTCTCAGGCAAAGCTAGAAGCCTTATTTCTGTTTTCCCACGGAAAGACTTCTATCACTAATCTTTTTCACATTATTTATCTCTCACGCATGCCCACTAAATCACGAGCAACTTGAAGGCAATTGTCATCTAAAGCATCCTTCTATCCTCACTGCCTATGATTCAATACATAGTTGCTGAATGAATGAGAAATGATTCACATGTCAGCTTCTTAAAAACTGGAATTATATATGCTGATATCTTCCATACCTGGGTAATGGTTACATAAAAAGTCTTGTTGATAGCAATACAAACTAAGGTTTTAATAAATATTCAAAGGCAAGTACATATACACACACATATACAAATCCTGCTTCTCCTCCTGTCTTCCTCATCCCAAGTAACAATACCAACACCCACTTAGTAGCCCAAGCCAGAACTCTCACCTCCATTTTCCATATTTAATTGATCACCAAGTCCTATGAATTCTAGGTCCTAAATATCTCTCTCCTTCTCTCTGTCTTCATGGCTTCAGCTTTAGGTTAGGCCCTCATCATCCATTGGCCTGCACTGTTAATTGTACCCCAAGTACTAACATACATATTGCTCTTTCTCAAACACGACTTCTCTTTCATGCCTCTCTTCACTTAGCAAAAGTTAAATGAGTACCAACACTGACTGTAACCATGATAGGTTTTATGACACAGTAGTGAATAAGACAGGCAAGATTCCAGCCCTTGTGGGACTTACCTTATAGAGCAGTGGCAATATTGACATTTGAGATGAGTAAGTCTTTGTTATGGCTCTGTCCCATGTACAATAGAATGTTTAGCAGCACCCCTGGCCTCTATCCACTAAATGCTAGTAGGATACACCCCTGTTCCCAGTTAATGACAGTCAAAAATGTCTCCAGACACTGCCAAACATCCCCTGGGGGACAAATCACCTCAGATTGAGAATCACTGTTCTAGAGGGAGATTATGATAACATTAATTATGTAAGTACAAATTATGATAAATGTCACCTCCCACTACAAATATTATATCATCTTGTCTAGAAAAGGTTTTCCTTTCCTTTCTTTTTTGGTGAATTTCTCCAGGATTCACTTCCAATGTTCCCTTCTCCTGGAAGCCTCGTCAACTTCCCCAAGCAGAACAAGTGACTTTTTAACTCCCTTAGACCTTGTTAATACATTGTTCACTGCATTAAGGAAAAATATCTTTGTTTTAAAGAGCTAATGCATTATTTTCTCAGGTAAGTTATAGTAACCTCTACCCATGCATGAATTGTCCCTATATCAAATTTTAATAAACAAGGTATTTCAGTATATGCAGTTTATTTTTGTATACTTTTTCTCAACCACAAGAATTTTAGTTCCAGTATATAAGAATTATGAGTTACTCCTTTTGGGGATAATTAGAAAAAGAGGAAATTGGGTGATGGGAATAAAAAATAAAGGAAGGCAGATGGCATGACAGTAACAGAGGTTTTTGCCTTGAGGCTTTAGCAAATTAGGGAATCTGAGGAGACGTCAACCAGGACCTTAAAACGGAACTCCCACAGTTGCAAGGAAGGAGGGAAGTGGTATTTGTGTAAGAGGGGCCTGATGGCATGTACTTTGGGGAGTTATCTCTGGGATTGAGGATGCAGAAGTCAACAATTCCAAATCATCAAATCAGAAAGGCATTGCACATTTGGATGGAGAATCAAATTCAGGGGGAAAGATCTTTCACATGTATATTACTTTGGCAAAGCAAAGCAAATTTATGGGCATTTTATTGAAATAGCAGAGGAGAAAGGCCCTGAGAAATTTCACCTGAGCAAGAGATGATAAATGGAAAGCAGTTGTACTATAACCATTATTATTAATTTAAGATGTGAAAAATGTTACCGATATTCTTTGTTTAGCATGCTGTTCTGATGGTTCTATTTTAGAGATAATACAAAGAAGATTTATGCAAGTTTGCATTTAATCCCCCTAAAATCTTAAATACCTCCAACTGCAATATCTTGTTATCCTCACAATTAGGGAGAATCTACTCTATCTGTAACAGTCTCCTGAGACTGGAATTTCTATCTTATTCCTTTTTCTATTCCCACATCTACACTGGGCACATAATAAGAACTTAATCATTATTTGTTGAACATATAATTCAAAATAAGATGCGGCAGGAGGAATTGGCAAAACCTATCCTATTCTCTCAGATGGAGATTCTGAGAGCAAAGTGAAGATTGGGAGCAGGCAGAGCAGAAATGCACTCAGCTGCAGACAATAAGCCAGAATGGCCATCAGAGAGGTCCTGCACGAAGGAATGCAGCTGCCGCAACAAGTGTAGGACTGTAGAGTCCTGGGGAAGCACTATTGGAGATCCAGGCAGTTAGGTCTGCAACAGTAACTGACACGAATATACAGACATGGCACTGAAATTTAGGAGCAGAACTCCAGCCTCCAGGGTGTAAGGAAGGGGTAATAAATGGCTGGTTGCCAAGATCATAGCTCAGGCCCAATTTTTTTTCTTTCTTTCTTTATTTTCTCTCTCCCTTTTTTCTTTTCTTGAGACAAGATCTTGCTCTGTCACCCAGGCTGGAGTGCAGTGGCATAATCTCAGCTCACTGCAGCCTGACCTCCTGGCTCAACTGACCCTCCCACATCAGCCACCTGAGTAGCTCAGATCACAGGCGCACACTACTATGCCTAATTTTTATGTTTTTACTTTTTGTAGAGACAAGGTCTTTCTATGTTGCCCAGTCTGACCTCAAACTCAGGCTCAAGCAATCCTCCCATCAGGCCGAGTTTCTAACATTGTGTCTTACACAGACAGTAGTAGTTTTGTTGAATGAAGGAAGGAAGGAAGGAGTGAATAGAGTGATTGATTTTTACCAATAATAGAGGAACCAGGCACATTATCAAAAGAGAAACTCAAGTGCAAGAAAACGAGATAGATGATATAAGAATGGACATACAATTTCGTCTGGTTTCAGAAATACGCAGCCCAGACAAAAGAACAGAGCCCCAGAGAGAAATACGATAAACAATGCTTAGAAAAGGCTAGAACAGCTTCTTAAATTTATCCTATACAACAGGTCCTGTTCCAAGTCTGGGCAGGAGTATGTCTGCTGGTGTGCATAAATGGCCGCAGTTGTAAAATGAGGTCCCTGTCAGAAAACCCAACAGGGACTCACAGACATGAACAATGACTTACGTGACTGTTTTAGTCCAGCATGTTGCACATTCTGAAGTTCTGAATAGGAAGATCTATTCGCTTACCTACTCTCCTGGGTACTTCAGAAGGAAAGTCCATTTTTCAAGGCTCCAAAGTGTCATTTTTATTCAAGTATCAAAACGTGACACAGAAACTACAGGGAATAGAAGCATATGTCAATGTGTAAATACAATCACCTGGGCCTCTGGAGGCATTTTTCTAGGAGGAGTAATGAATTTACAGTAAAGTATGCATCTTTTTTGCCTCACCTGATCTGCTTAATTACCAAGAGAATGGCACTCCAAGTCCACAGAGTGGTGAATTCCAAGATACTGTAACTGGGAGAAGTTAATTGGTCCATAGAGGAACTGAGGCTACAGCCCAGACTTCATTAGCACCAGGTTTTAACCATTACTCAAATCACATTCAGGTTTTTACCATTACTCAAATCACATTCAGCTTTCTTGAAGAGTTCATGTATACCCTTCAGTACACATTTTTTCACTGTAAATTTGTTAACTAAATAACTTTAAGTAGAGTTAGGATGAGCAAAGAAAAGGATTAAAATTCTTCCTATCATGCTACAAATACTGTAATAAAGAATAATTAATAGGCTTCCAGAATGTCCAGCTACCCATCTCTTTGTACCAAGGAGAATCAAGAAAAGAAGGGGCCTAGACAGGCAAGGGGAGACGTTGGCAATGGGTACAAAGTTCCTGTTAGACAGAAGGAATGAGTCTTTGTGATCTACTGCACAGCATGGTGACTACAGTTAATGATAACGTATTGTATACTTCAAAGGAGCTTAAAAAAGAGGATTTGTTCATGTTCTCGCCAGAAAGAAATAATAAATATTTGAAGTGATAAATATGTTAATTAGCCTTATTTGATTATTCCAAATGTATACATGTATTGAAAGATCACATTGTGCCCCATAAATATATACAATTATTATTGGTCAACTAGAAATAACATAGAATAAAAGTAGTAAGTCAACAGACATATTAAAGAGAGAGCAAAAAAATGTGAAGGAGGCTTTTTGGAGTGAAGGAGAAGAGAGAAAAGAAGTTATCTTCATAACTGGACTTCCAGGTTTCCATCTTGCCCTACTTTAATCTATTCTCCATGAGGCTATCAAAGTAATTTATCTAAATCCAACTTTAACCATAACAGTCACATTCCTCAACACTAGTAGTTCCTAACTGCCGCATGATCAGAATTACCTAGAGGGCTTGTTAACCCACAGATTGCTGAGAAGCCACACCCAGAGTTTCTGATTCAGTGGATCTGAGATAAGGCATGAGAATTTGTGTTTCTTACAAGTTCTAAGGTGATGCTAATGTTATTATCCAGGGACCACGCTTTGAGAACCAGTGACCTGGAGAAAGTCTTTAACTTTGAGCTTCAATTTTCTCCTTGTGAAATAATTTTCCCCTTGTAAAACTCTTCAGATTGTTGTGTTAAATATTGAAAAATATTCCAGACAAATGCTAGATTTTATTTTAATTTAAAAGAAGGAGCAAGAGGCTTGCAGTCAAGAGGCCAGTCCCCTAGTTACAGGTCTACCATAAGCTGACTAGTCAAATAACCTCTCTAGTCATGTTTTCTCATTTGTAAAAGGAATTAATTCATGCAACTAGCACTTATTGAATACCTGTTGTATACCAGACACTTGTCAGACAATAGAAATATGGTAGAAAAACAAATCTTGCTTCCACACATTTATAATTATGATTATGTTTTGGATGATGTTTAAATTATCTTCCAACTCTCAGTTATTTCATGACTTTATAATTAATAAAATGAGCTTTTTCCTATTCTTATGGTATTTTGTTCCTCATAAATTTGACTTAAATGTTTATGAGCTATTAGGGATGGCTATTGGGTGAACTGCCTAAAATACATTTATGTGTTAAGTACATTTCATGTGTTGATTGCCATTATATCAATAAAAGAAAATTTTTAATGTATGGGTTAAATAGTAAATCATCAGTGAAGTAAATAACCAGTATTTATATTTATGTTCCTTATTTTCCAGCTATGTCATGCCAAATCAGTTGTTTATTGGGTAAATATTTGTTGAGCATCTATAAGTCAGCAGGCACTATGCCAGGATCTAGTGATAGAAGGGTAAATGAAATTGGCATTGTGTCTGCTATAAAAGACCTCACATTCAAGTGAAGCTAGTCAATGAATAATTAGCACTTTTAATTAATTAACCAACCAGTCTTGTGGTAGATATTAGGTATTAGAAGTACAAGGCATTTTGAAAATGTACAACAAAAGGACTTGGCCCATTCTAGGATATCTAGGAAGCCTTAGACAAGTCACTTCAGCTTTCTGAGCCTCAATTGTCTTGTAAAATTGAAAAAAAGTAATAAAACACACCCCTTAAGATGCAGATAATGATTGTTGGCACTTTGAGATAATTTATTTAAAATTCCCGCCACAGTACTTAGCACACTATATAACAGGTAGTTATGACATCACATTAACTAACTGAAAGATTATTCACACAAAGAATTCCAATGGTCAAAATCAAATTTTAAAGGGTTTATCAGGGCCAGGCGTGGTGGCTCATGTAATCCCAGTACTTTGGGAGGTCGAGGCAGGCGGATCACTTGAGGTGAGGAGTTTGAAACCAGCCTGGTCCCACATGGCAAAAGCCTATCTCTACTAAAAATACAAAAAAAATTAGCCGGGCATGGTGGCGGGTGCCTGTAATCCCAGCTACTCAGTAGGCTGAGACACAAGAATTGCTTGGACCCTGGGGACAGAGGTTGCAGTAAGCCAAGTTCATGCCACTGCACTACAGCCTGGGCAACAGAGCGGGACTCCATCTCAGAAAAAAAAAAAAAAAAAGTTTAACGGTAATACCAATAACTTAATTTGCCAGTTTTAAAAAATAAAATATAAACTGTATTAATTGCACATATAGTATCACACAGAATTAAGTCTTTATAATTGTTTTTCTATATGTAATATATGAACCAAAGACAGATCATGGATGAATTAATCAATTATCAACACCCAGACTCTTTCTTGCAACTGGAAGTAAATGTCTCCTTATTTCTTTCAGCTACTTGAAAAGAATTGAAAAATATGAGTCTGGAAGCCAAGCCAACCAAAGTTCTAATAAACCAGGTGGACTTTTGGAATGCATCAACATTCTGGTGTTTTTCAACTTAAGGATGGATTTGGAACTGGCTGCAGAAATGTAATCAGCATCTTCTCAAAGAAAAAGGCAGACTTAACTGAAAGTTGAAATTTGTGTGCCCAAATACATCCCTCTGAATTATGGGGCTTGGAATAGTCAATAACAAGATACCACAAAACAACTATCTCTATACAATCTGTATAAAAGAATACTCAGAATCATGTGTAAGTAAAGAAGTGGTTACCTATTTCATATTTCTAAACTTGAAAAATGGGGCACTGGAGATTAAACTGGGATTCATGAAATATGAGATAAATCGACTCTGTCTACACATTGTAAAAGAAGCTCATGAGAAAAATTGATGATTCACTAACAAGTTAGGAAGAAAAAATCCATACACACTTAAATGTTCCTTGCTTCAATACTAAAAAGCAAAGGAAGAGGGGCATAACATAGAAAACCTAAAGAATATTTTAGTGGAAGGCTTTAAAATGGGGGTGAGTGTTAAAATTAAGCAGCTGCTTCAAATGATCTTATTCTAAACATGCATAATCCTCTTGCATAGTAATCCTAACATCATCTTTAAACTCTATCCAGCTCCTTCTGGACTCCTGTTATAGCTAAAATTCCACACCACATGTGTTTATTACCTCACCTTTCCCTCTTCCACTTTCGCTCACCTGGATTTTGTTCCACTGAAACCACTGTTACGAAAGTCACCAGTGACTTCCAAGGTGCTAATTTATGTAATCTTTTTAGCCTTTTCTGGACCTCTCAGAAAAACATGAAACTTTCCAGCACCCTAAAAAACTATTCTTTCCTCCCTGCAAAGTGTGTTTTCTTTCCTTCTGTGATGGGGACATTACGGCTTTTCCCCATCCAAAGTGGCTGCTCCTTCTCAGTTGCCTTGATGATTTTCCTCTTCTGTTCATTCTTTAACATTGGAGCTCTTCAGAGTTTTGTCCTATGTTTGATTGTTTTCTACTTTCACACACACATATAATCTGGGAGATTTCATCACTCCCATGACATCAGTCATCTGATGACTCCTTTATCCATAAGTCAAGGCCAAATAGAGATTGTGGACTTGAGGCCTAAGTATCTAATTATCTATGAGACTTCTCCTCTTAGGTGGCCCACAATCACCCAAAATTGAACATGAATTGGCCTCTTTATCCTCCCCTCCCCACCCCAAGCTATCTCCTCCTCAAATGTTCCCCAAGTCACTGGATGGCACCTCCAGTCATCCAGTTGCCAAAGCCAGAAACTGGCAGTGCTCCTTAAGTCATCCCCTTGAATTCTTCCTCTCTCTCTCTCTCCCCATTACCAAACATCAGAGCACTTTTCTTCTACTTCTGAAACATTTCTATAGCTCATCAACTTCTCTTGAGCTCCACCACATCTATCCTAGTTCAGGCCACCATCATTTCCCCTCAGAATTCCTGCTGCAGTCTCCTTACTGTTCTCCCTGTCTCTACTGTGCTCCCCTTCTAATCGTTTCTCCACACTGCAGCCCCAGTCATCTTATTCAAAACACTCTCTGGTTTCCTACCCTCTCTGTTTAAAATAATCTAAACACTCCCATAGCACACTTGAGAAAACACAAACACCAGAATACAGCCTAAAAGGTCCTTTTTGATCTGGTCCCTGCCAAAACCACCAATCTCATCTCTAGCTCCTTCCTCTATCCTCCCTCTTTTCCACCACAATCCCATCGTACTGAAATGCTCCATTCCTCAGATTGCCAAATTTTTCAATGCCTCTGTGCCCACACCACTCTCACACCTCTTTTTAAAATTTTGTTTGTATTTAAGGGTTGAACAAGGATGTTGCATCCTCCAGGAAGCCCTCCTTGATTCCACTTATCTGAATCTAGATGAGGTGTCCATCCTAAATCCTCCCATAAACATGTAAGCATTCTATTCCTCCATTACAGTATTCATCACACTCTTCTCTATCCTCCAACAGACTATAAGCCCCCTGAGGGCAATGACCTTGGCATTCTGTTTCATAATTATATACCCACCAACCCAGTAAGTGCCTGGCATAACACTAAATATTGCTTGAGTAAACATACATCTTACCAGCTGGGCGAGGTGGCTCATGCCTGTAATCCTAGCACTTTGGGAGGCCGAGGTGGGTGGATCACCTGAGGTCAAGAGTTCCAGACTAGCCTGGCAAACATGGTGAAGCCTCCTCTCTACTGAAAAATAGAAAAATTAGCCAGGGGTGGTTGTGGACACCTGTAATCCCAGCTACTTGGGAGGCTGAGGCAGGAGAATCGCTTGAACCCAAGAGGCAGAGGTTGCAGTGAGCTGAGATCGTGTCATTGCACTCCAGCCTGAGCAACAGAGCAAAAACTCTGTCTCAAAAAAAAAAAAATATATATATATATATCTTGACTCATTTAAATAATCAATGGGAACTGAATATCCTAATTGATATGACACAGAGCAGGAATCTCCATGCCTTTCAAACAAATATCACAGAAAGAAATCAGCCCTTGCTGGGCACAGTGGCTCACACCTGTAATCCAAGCACTTTAAGAGGCAGAGGCAGGTGGATCACTTGAGCTCAGTTGGAGTTTAAGAAAAGCCTAGGCAACATGGTGAAACCTCATCTCTACAAAGAATACAAAAAATTAGCCTGGCATGGTGGCATGCACCTGTAGTCCCATCCACTAGGGAGGCTGGGGCAAGAGGATCACGTGAATCCAGGAATTCGAGGCTGCAGTGCCCCCAGATCATACTACTGCACTCCAGCCTGGGTGATAAAGTGAGACCTTCTCAATAAATAAATAAATACAAAATTAAAAACCAGCACTTAACTCTTCAGCTACCACATTAATTCTCAGCAAATACCTTCTTAGCAGTCGTTTGACAATCAAGTCAACTAGAACTGGAACTAGAATGAGATAACATGGTATTGCTTCTTCTCACAGAGTAGATCCTCAATGAATGTTTGAAAGGAGATGTCAGTCCGATGTTTACCTTTGATCAAAGAAAGGAATATAAGATTAAGACATCAGGGCCTCGTCAGGCTGTTCTGCATTTCTGTATTAGCCAGACTCTCAACCATTTTCTTGCCATATATAAACATGTGGCCCAGTTTGTAATCAGTGGGTTATAGGAAGCTAAAGAAATTATCTTTTCTTTCATAGAAAATAATTTGGGCATAGGAACCCAGGTATTAACCGTCTAGCACCAAAGTTGTAGGAATCTTTAGTCTCCTCTGCCTCCCTTCTTCCATCCCTCTACTCTCAGTCTTGACCCCACCCCACCCCTTACTTGTTTTTCCTTCTACTCATTTTCTCCTCCCTCCCTCTCCCCTCTCCCCACACTAGAACCATCAGGGCCCTCACCAGGGCATTCAGTTCAGGTTCTGGGTCAGCTCTCACAGCTCTACCAGTCCCACCCCCATCCCCAGGAAAAACTGCTCCTTATTTGGAGTCACAAAAATATTTAACAGAGATCTAACTGACCACTAAAAATTCCTCCTTTAAAACAAACACCTAATCAACTATTTTCCCCCAAGTTATATGGAAAAACAGCTGCAATTAGAACTTGATTCTCACTTTAAGAAAGAAAGATTCTTGTTTGGTTTTCTCCACTTTCATTTTTTGTTTCTAGGTCCAGGGCCTCCCACCAAATGCTGACGGCTGCCTGCTTCAAACCCTGCCACATCAGCAGGGAGGGAGCACAGCGGCATTTGGTATTTGCATCAGTTTCCAGGAATGCTTTTCAAGTTATCAGTTCACTCTGCTGCCTTTAGCAGAGACGTTTTCCCTCTAAGTTTATAGATGTCTGCTTCAATTTACAGTCCTCTAATTCTCAAAAACTTGCTGAGGATTTTTCTTTTTTGGCTAAAAGAGAAATTATAATCACACTTCTAAAAACATTCTATGTTTTAAACTATTTTGACAACAACAACAAAACCTACAATGAAATGTTTAAAACTTGGGATATCTATTGCAAATCCAATGATTGAGCCAACTTGACCCCAGAAGCGTTATCAGATAACCTCACTGAAGGGTATTTGGAGGGTTTCTTTCATAAATCTGTTGCATTACCACCCTGAGTCATTTTGCTCAGAATTAGTCTCTGACTCTCAGCAACACAGGACAAATACACACATATGCCCTGCAAAGGTAATTCAGCACAGTGGTAACAATGATTCTTAGAAATCATTTCTCACTCTTCTGATATGCAGAAAAAAATTTGTTATGATGTAGTATTGAAGTTTTTCTTTCCTGATAAAAATGATTTCCACTTTAAAAGTTTTTTGTTAGTTCTGTAACGGTGATATTTCAGGGAAATGTTAAAAATGTTCTTGGAATATACAATTCAACCTCAGGTCTTTTGTTGTTGTTGTTCCTAGAACCTAGAAAACTTCAAACATTGTTGCCTAGTTAGAAAAAAATTTGAATGTGGATTGCTCCCTGTAAACCCCCTTCTAGGAATGACCAGTAACCCTTTCAAATTCTTTCACTCCCAGTTACTTCAAAAAATCATCCAAAGTGGTCTCCCAAGTGAGTGCCTTTAATTAGAATAAAACAAGAGTTTATTATAGTTTTTGGTTATCCACTTTTACTTGCATTAACCTTTTTTTCTTCTTTTACATTTAGAAAGAGTAACCTGCTTTAGAATAGTCCCTTTTATTTACAGAAGCTGCTGATGGAGTTAACTTCTGCAGAAATTCTTCCTTAAGGCAAAGCAAAAAAAGCGGGGAGGGGGTGGGGGGAAGGAAGGGAAAAAGATTCTCAGGGAACTACAGCCCACTTGCTTCTGTTTCTTAGAGACAGAACTGACCTAAAGATGCCCCCTTTGCGATGACTTCTGGGATAGAGCAGCACTCTAACTAGGCCCCCGCTGCCTCATGGGGACCTTAGGCAAGTAGAGGAGAGGCCTGACACACACACACACACACACACACACACGCACACGCGCGCGCGCGCACACACACACACACAGCCTTTCAAACCTAGGGCCTGGAATGCCATCCCAAGAGGCTTTAGAAAAAGGCACAGGACCTTTGGCCTCCCACCTCAGGGTCAAAGTACCAGTTCCTCCTCTCCCTAGTAGGGAGTGGAGGGTTGGATGGAGGCGGCCAGAGAAGAGGGAAGTTGGGTGCTGGGGAGAGAGTTAACATCCACGTTGGTGGGCGCACTGCTTGGGGTGTTACCAGCGAAGACTACGAAGACCCCAAGCTCGAATCAGAAGGGCCTCTGGATGTGCTAGGGGAGGTGCTTGGGTGTGGCTGTAAGAGATGGGACAGAGAGTAAGCAGCAAGGTCAAGAGGGACCGGGGGGCTCACGGGAGGGTTGAAGGGTCCAGGCTCAGGGTAGAACTGGTAAATCCAGACAAGGAGCCCATGGAGAAGGGGAGGGGAGACTGGAAACCATGAAAGATCCCCCACCGCAGCCTCAGAAAGGAGAGACTGAGAAATAAGTTCTCGGTCTCCAGGTCGGTTGGAGTCGTGTCGGAGTGCCAGACCATCCCCCAAAAGACCCTCTTTGGAATGAGCCTCAGCAAAGGCAAGCTAGGAGGTCGAAGGACTTCCCCAGGTGACTCGGTCTAGTCTAGAGTTCGCAAAGCCTATCCTCCCTGTAGCCGGGTGCCAAGCAGCCTCGAGCCTGCTCCCCAGCCCACCTGCCAACAAAAGGCGCCCTCCGACTGCAACCCAGCCCTCCACAGACAGGACCCGCCCTTTCCCGAAGTCATAAGACAAAGAGAGTGCATCACTGCTGAAACAGTGGGCGCACACGAGCCCCAAAGCTAGAGAAAAGCTGGACGGGGCTGGGGGCGGGGTGCAGGGGTGGAGGGGCGGGGAGGCGGGCTCCGGCTGCGCCACGCTATCGAGTCTTCCCTCCCTCCTTCTCTGCCCCCTCCGCTCCCGCTGGAGCCCTCCACCCTACAAGTGGCCTACAGGGCACAGGTGAGGCGGGACTGGACAGCTCCTGCTTTGATCGCCGGAGATCTGCAAATTCTGCCCATGTCGGGGCTGCAGAGCACTCCGACGTGTCCCATAGTGTTTCCAAACTTGGAAAGGGCGGGGGAGGGCGGGAGGATGCGGAGGGCGGAGGTATGCAGACAACGAGTCAGAGTTTCCCCTTGAAAGCCTCAAAAGTGTCCACGTCCTCAAAAAGAATGGAACCAATTTAAGAAGCCAGCCCCGTGGCCACGTCCCTTCCCCCATTCGCTCCCTCCTCTGCGCCCCCGCAGGCTCCTCCCAGCTGTGGCTGCCCGGGCCCCCAGCCCCAGCCCTCCCATTGGTGGAGGCCCTTTTGGAGGCACCCTAGGGCCAGGGAAACTTTTGCCGTATAAATAGGGCAGATCCGGGCTTTATTATTTTAGCACCACGGCAGCAGGAGGTTTCGGCTAAGTTGGAGGTACTGGCCACGACTGCATGCCCGCGCCCGCCAGGTGATACCTCCGCCGGTGACCCAGGGGCTCTGCGACACAAGGAGTCTGCATGTCTAAGTGCTAGACATGCTCAGCTTTGTGGATACGCGGACTTTGTTGCTGCTTGCAGTAACCTTATGCCTAGCAACATGCCAATGTAAGTGCCTTCAGCTTGTTTGGGGGAGACTGGGTAGAGAGGTTAGATGGGAGGGCACCCTGCCCTGAAAAGGAAAACCTGTAACCTGAATTCCAGGTACACTTGGAGGGCAGACTCTCAGGCATGTGGGAAAACGCCGGAATTGATAAGAAACATGGAAATTACTTTAAAAAATGAAAACATAAAAGCCTTGCCAAAAGTTAGGGAACTTTTCCTCTAAGTTCAGAGTGAGACAGTTAACTCGGTCTGGCTCCTCAGCTTAGTAACCCCCAAAGGGAGCGGAAGGTCTTTTTCCCTAAGGATGAGATATTAACGACCAATGTGGTGGAGGAAGTCAAGGGCCTGCACCCCACAGGCCCCATAACCGCACTGATGTCCACCTTGTAAAACTTGAGGCCTGCGTTAGAAAGCCCTTCAACTGAGTAATGTAAAACTCACCTCCTAAGAGCTTTTATCTTCTGGGCATTGTAAGGCTTGTCCGGAGGAGGAGGATGACGATGCTGATATGATGATGGTTATAAGGCGCCCTCTGGAGGAAGGAAAATGAAAGTACAGGGGACAGGGCCTTAAGCAGATGGAATCCCAATTAAAGCTTCTACGGATTTATACAGATTAATGATCAGCATTTCTGGTTGGAGCCTTTCCCAGTGGCTAGTCAGTGAACCCTGGAAAGAAGAATGGATGCTACTTGGAGTGGGTACATTCTGAAAAGTAATATAAGTGTCTCAATTCACTTTCTAGTCATGGAAATGGTAACATTTTTTAACTCAAATCTGCTCTAAATTTTGTTTGAGCCTGAGAATTACCCCTTTGACATGTTCCCAGTGATAAGCAAACATTATGAACGCAGCAAGTTGAGAAATATCAACATTGAGATGAGACTCAAGAGACCGGGGTTTTTCCCATGAGTCTGACACCAATTTGCTGCGTGACTTTGGGCAAGTCAAACGGCCTTTTCTAAAATGTGAGACAGAGATTAAAGGGACCCCAAGGCCACTTTCCAGCTCTAGGTTCCATGGCCAGACTTTCATGTCAACAGAGAATGAAGAAGATCAGTCCGTTTTCATCTTGAAAATGGCTGCCAAAGTGCTAGACAAAGATATTGACTAGATGGGGGATGGTATTGTCTGACCACACCCAGTACTCCAAAAAGTTGTTCCACCCACACAGCACGGTGTCTACCACTGCATAATTTCTAATGCATTTGTGTGCTTGTGTGTGTGTGTGTGTGTGTGTGTGTGTCTGTGTGTCTGTGTGTCTCTTCCCCCTTCATTCACTTTTAGTATACATACTGTGGATACTAAGGAGTAATTGCAGTGAACAAATTCACATTACCGAGTTCATATTTTTAATGAGATCTTGAGAGTGGGAGGAAAGAGTCGGCTCCTAGAGAATAAAATGAAGGCAGACTTAGGGAAATTTGAAGGTACAAAGGCAACTTACCTTCTGATCAACAGCCAACCACAGTCTGGAATAAATGTTATCAAACACACATTCTTCAAAATGGTCCATGTCTGAGTAATTAAAAGGCAAATTTCCAAAATCATAAGGACTTCCGTTAATCAAGTCAGGCATAATTATTCTTCCTACTGATGGACACAATGAAGTAAACATATCATTCTTGTAATTTAACAGTAATTCTCGTAAATTGCCCTTAAATGTCAGTGCTGGATGTGGTCCACCCTCCTAAATTGTGACTGTTGCAACAGATGTTCTCACTTCAAATAACGCACTTCTTGGCCACCTAATTAAAGCAATTTTTGGGGTGATTCATCCTACTGCAAGCTTGGCCACACTTGTATCCTGTATTAACCTATAATTTTTGTACCGTAGGAGAAGAATTCACTCTTTAAGGACTTATAACAATTATGGCAAAAGGGGGGATAGTACTTTTGTTTATTTTTTCTATTATTTTTCAAGATCTTTAATCCGGTTTTTCCATTTATACAAAACTCTTTCTCCGAGACAAAAATGATACATATTGGTAAAATGATCTTACCTAATTTAAGTGAACTAATTTAAAGCAAAATTCAGATGTCTGAATTAATCCATTTTCATAGTTAATAATGTGCAAATTAGACCTTTTGAAAAAGGATATTAAGAATGGTACAAACTCAATGAAGTACTAGGTAACTTCAATGTTTTATAAAAAAGTAAGTCAGCTTCAATGTTTCATAAAAAACAAATTCAATATAGAATTTTAAGGTAACATACTTTCCTAAATTTTACCTTTTTTCGATATTTAGGTATTAAAAATGATCAAAATCATAAATTATTTCCTCATCAATCTACTAGTCTTACATTCAGCGATTCATCTGTGCACTTTACCAGCTTAATTGCTAAGCATTCAAAATATCCTTCAGACACATTAATATTTCACAACAGTTATAAAATAGTAAATAATTAATAATTTAATTCAAAATACATTTACATATTAATATTGCAAACAAATCACCCTGCTGATCCCTGCCATACTTTTGACCTGCATAATTTCTAGGTCATTAAAATATTCTTAAAAAAATATAATTGGTCCTTAATTAGGTAATTCAATTCTATAAACTTGTTTCTCTATTTGTTAATTATTGCTATTGATCCATGAAGTGATACTAATAATTGTTTCCTACTTTTTCTTTTTTTTTTCTACAGCTTTACAAGAGGTGAGTAAAACTTTTTTTAGAATTTTTAAAAATACTTTGATTCCCTTGGCTACAGTGATGTCTTCTCTTGGAAGGGAAGAAGTTACATTAATATTGACCATCCTAGATTCCCAAGAAAATTGTGAAGAATTATGATAGTCAAAACCTTTCTGGCTGCCTTAGAAAGTACCCACCCAATTTTCCAAAATAGGCGGGGCTACTGAATAAGACTAGGTTTATAAAATATTCATAAGAAATATAGAGTAAATAATCCAATAGAAGTTTGAGTTTTAGGATCAGCTTCTATGAAGCAGAAGATTTCACTGAGCTAGAGAATCTTTTCACTCCTTTGGAATTATTTGCAAAAGCACTTATTGTTAACACATTCTTAGCTCATGAGTTGAATTTGAGGCATAAGTACAGGTACGTATTGCTATGTATTTTTTGTTCTGTAGGTACATATTTTTATTTGACATGTTGGTAAAATTTTAAATTGTAGTTTGAAATATTAAACTGAGATAATAGTAAATGCATAATGTAATGAATTGTGAAGGTATATTTGTATACTACACCAAAATGGAAGCTGTTTTTAAATATATATATACAATTTTCTTCATAATAATCTTTGATTTATTCTTTTCTAGGAAACTGTAAGAAAGGTAAGAGTACACTACTTCTCCATAAATATCTAAAATTATCAGGGATAACATAATTTAACTAAATTTATAGTAGACTATAGAAGGAAAATACTTTATCAAAATTTTGTTCATATGAATATACATTAGCTAAAGCATAAAATAAAGTAGCTTTGATGTTTAAGATAACAAAGTTTAATTATCTTCTGGAATCATCTGTAATTACATTTATGTGATACAAACTGGTGATTTACATACAAAAGGAAAAAAAAAGACTTGTTTTTATTCTGGAGATGGAAGGCATATTATGTTAATTATAGGGAGTAAAAAAAGTTTATTTTAAAGGGCTTTGACTATATAAATGTGCTGTTAAAAATGTAACAAAATGATCATTTAATCTACAGTTATCATCTTATTCAAAATGCTATGCATAGTATTGACCTAATAGCTGAAGACTATAGCAGCTTCCAATCCTCCAGCTGAAAAAAAATTACGTATAATTACAATTAAAATATATACTTTTATCTATTGCATTGTGTCAATTTTTTATATGCTATCTAATAACATTGTAGTTACATCAGTCTTACCAACTAATTATTATCAAGAATGATTTGTTTGTTCACTGGAAATTACTTCTTAGGCATTTATTATTGTCCTGTTTGTATCTTTCCTGTAGGGCCCAGCCGGAGATAGAGGACCACGTGGAGAAAGGGTGTGTAATTTTTGAACTATAAAGGGCTTCGTCCCGTATTTGAATAACTATATGTTAGAAACTACAGGAACTGGCAATTTATAAGAATATTATGTATCCAGATAATTGTACACCCCTTTAAACAGGTAATGCACTGCAGAAGAAGCGAATGAGCATTATTATATATGATCAATATTTGTTTTAGGTCAAAATTACCGTTAAAAAAGAAAAACTGTTACAGTCATATTCTTTGCATGGTCTACTTTCTTTATTTGTAATTGACCCATCCAACACATGCATAATGGAAATATATCTACCTACCACCACAGTCCTCTTTTTAACACATTTCATTTGCTTTTGAACTAAGATCCCTTAGGTAGCTTGGAAATAATAGTGAATTAGTAGTCAGTAACATGTTTCTCTGCTCAAATTCATGCATGTACAAGTCAGGCTTACATTTTATTTGTGGCATTCTTAAATCTCCCTGCTATGCTTATTTGACATTTATAACTATGTGGTTTTGCATTGTATAACACTTTTGCCAATATATGAATACCTATATCTTATATCTATTAGGAAGAGGAGACTTACATGTATTTCACTCAATTTATTAGAAATAGAATTAAATCAGTTAATTATTTTAACAATACAAGTAGTTAATGATAGTAAATCTGCAGGATTTTCTCTCCTATGATAAAGTGACCTTATTAACTGTCACATCAGTTAATTCATTCACATGTAACATACCAAAACAATTGAATCAGTTTGTCACAGTCAGAGATCGGCAATAAAAATACGATGTAAGTCCTTGTGCACTGTTAAACATATGAAGCACGTGGAACCATACATTTTGGCTATAATTTTTATATTTGAATACTGGAGCTTCAGTATGAATTAATATTCAATGGCCGAGATAGTTCTTTAGGAAAACTACCCTGTGATATCTTAAGAGTTATTAACCCTCTTTCTAAAATAGACTCATAAGTGAATTTCAATCAATGACAAATATAGTATATTAAATTTCCACCCTACTTGCACATAGAAAGGTCTGAACAACTGATCTTACCACATATAATTCTTAGGTTTCTACAGGGCCTGTCTAACCTGACCTTACTCACTTTTTACATAACAGGGTCCACCAGGCCCCCCAGGCAGAGATGGTGAAGATGGTCCCACAGGCCCTCCTGGTCCACCTGGTCCTCCTGGCCCCCCTGGTCTCGGTGGGGTAAGGTGTCTTACGTATTGCTAACTTTTAGCTAACTTCAGTTGAAAGAAGGTTTATTGTGGAATTTATTTTTAGCAGTTAAGGGATAATTCTTCCATTTGAAAATTAGTATATTTTATTTCATTTATTTGGTTTTTTCACTCAAGATTCTGCTTTACCCATTCTCTTTGTGAGCCCTTGTCAATTACAGGACTGGTCTTTGTGTGCACTGAAGTTAGCTGTGGCCATCATTACCATTATTTAATTTGGAGATTTAATATCTTTTATTAGTAAGGCACAAATAAGAGGTGTTGCATTATTAAGGATTTTGATTAGATTGAACTGTGTAAGTGAAATCCCTGATCTTAAGCAATTTTACAAACATCCTACGCTTTTTATTCTCCTTGACTTGAAGTCTGCTGAACCAACATTCAAAGCGGTTTTAGGTTTAATTTGCTTGAAACTAATTTGAGAAAAGTACATTTCCCTTTTTCATTAATATCTTCTTTTAGCTTCATGTCTTTAACAATGGTATGAGTGCCAAATGACCTCACTGCAGGAAGGAAAACATATTTGCTTAATTGGTTAGCACTATGAATCAGAAGCCTGATTCTAATACCCAACTGTATGTCAGTAAAATAAGACCTTTCTCCCCCAAAGATCTTATTATGATTGCTTATCTATGAATTGCATTAAAAAGCAGCTTCTTTAATAGAGCTACCACTATAAGAGAGATCTTTAACAGTAAAGTTATTACTGTGAACTAGTTTTTAGAAGTTTTATCTTCCAAGGGGTATTTTAATTTAATTTTCCTCTAAACTTGAAAACTCTTTATGCCCTTCCTGAAACTCCAGCAAGAAAAAGATCTCTTAGTCATTTTGTGTAGCTCCGGTGGGGAAGGGCAACAGGTGAAAATGTGAAGATGTCCTCTTGAGCTCTGTCTAATTTGTCAGGAGCCCTTAGTAACATTAAAAGTTTAGAAAGCTTCCCTTCCTCAGAGTAGAGGTAAAAGGTGGGAGTGGAGACACCGAGTTAAGGCAGAGGAAGGGCTCAAAAAGTAAAGTAGGGAAGTTCTCCATTTCAAAGAGGTGTCGGCCAAGTTTTTGACGTACAGCTCTCATAACTTTTTAGGAATTTAGTTCAATATAGAATTTTAAACTAATAATTATATCAAAAACATTGCCCTCTTTTAAATAACAACAGAAAAATATTTACAAGTAGAATGAGAAAATGAACTACATGACTAGTAACTAAAAATATTTTATATATATATATAATTTTTTTTTTTTACTTCTCTAGAACTTTGCTGCTCAGTATGATGGAAAAGGAGTTGGACTTGGCCCTGGACCAATGGTATGCTTATCTGTTTATCTTAGCCAAAAAAATTGCTAAATAAATCATTCATTTTATGTCACATTTTACCACGCCATTTATTTAGCTACCTAAGTTAACACTCAATACTTAGATTATATAAAAACAACTCTTTTTGTTTTCAAATTTATGAAAACATAAGTTAAGGAGTTCACTTTTCTTTACAAAAGAAAGATTAATTGATCTTTTATGATTATATGATCTTTTTGATTATATGATCCTCATTAAGATAGATCATATACTTATGTCCAAGAAATAATCTTTGGACATAGTAACCATAACTTGGGCAAATCAATTTAATTTAAAACAGTAATCACTCTGATTAATTTTTTAATATTCTTTAACATTGCTTAGAATTTTAAGCAACACTTAGAGGCATAGAACTATTTATTAAGTTCTCTGAACTTGTTGGAAAGGATCAACAAGTTCTATCTAGTCCAGCTAACTCATTTTAAAATGGGAGAGTTTAAGCCCTTTTCTCAAAGTCATCCAGGTAACTAATGACATAACTAGAACTAGATGCCAGGCAAGATGTCTAATATTTGCTTACATCATGGTTTATGTACCTAGTCCTTGAATAAACCACTCATTTAGTCAACAGATATTAATCAGATGCCTTCAATGGGCCCTAAACTGTATTAGGAACTGGGGAAATTACAAGGAATATGACAGATTCTGATCCTTCCTCAAGGAGTTAACAATATAGGAAATGTTTCTTTTTCTGAATTTTGACCAAAAAAATCCTTTTTTAGTCTATTGATTGTAAATCTATATAGAAGAGAGTATGAGTAAAAATCTAGCATTTATGTCACTCAGTACAAATATTCAGCACCATACCCTATCAGTGGAGCACCGCTTAGAAACATTCCCTATATGATGATGATGATGATGATGACTATTAACAAATGAAGCTTCTAACAAGCATTAGAGAGAAGTTTGAAGGGAAAAATGCTAATACGAGCATGCAAAATGTATACTAGCATATATGAAATAGAGGGGAAAACTGCCAGAAGTCAAAGTGTTAGGTTGATTAAGCACTACAGAATTTAATGTATACACACACACGCAATTTAGTGATTTTAATTAATTGTTTCAAAACAAAGGTATTTATCTGCCCAAAGTCAACAAGGTCTTTAAAATGTAAATTTTACCTGGGCAGTGCACTTAGTGCTCTATCTTCAAAAGAAGATGTTCTGCTGGAGCTAATGGCCCACAGTAAGCTAATATACTCTAAGGGTGAGATAATATTTTCTGTAAATTAAAACTCCCACTTGAGAAATAATGTACCTTTAATTGACGACTTCTAATTCCCTAATTTTTTCTGGTAGTTTAAAATGTTCATATCTGAAATGAAAAAGTAGAGTGTTTCTTTTGGCTTTGTTTATATTGGATTTTTGAAATTAGCTGTTTCAGCTAATGCTGGACATTAGTCAGTTTTAAAGCAGTACCTACATCTCAAGAAGAAGCAAGGGGGCGGAAAGTAAAGAGCTACTAAATGTCATTTTTAAAAAGCCCACTAAGCTGGGAAAATTAATATGGATTTCAGATACCCCTGTTTTCGGAACATCTGTCTTGGCATAAAGCAGAGTATTTTACTTTGAAATATCAGTGAAATATAATTTAAGCTTGCACATCCACACACATGCACAGACATATGTAATCAACAGATATCTGTTTCACAAATAGGGAAGATAGGCAGCAATAAAGTATTAAAATAATTTCCATGTTGGAAAATCAATAACTATAAAACCCCACAGGGTTCTTCTCTGAATTAATGAGTAATCACAGCCTCCATGAAATACACTACATTTTATGTAAATGAAATTGTTGCAAATACATGAAAAAATAAATATAATTAGAAATTCATGATGTCAAAGAAAATTATTTTTTAATGTATGCCTAAAAAGCTATTGTGATGGAAAAGTGACAGTTTCTTTTAATGTCAGAGCAATTTCTAAAACCAAATGAATAATTCTTATAATTAAAATGACATACATTTTAGATAAAATCCATGTTATTTCACTCTAGGCATTAATACAGTAAGGTAGGTTTGACTGCAGAGTCCCCACAGCTGATGTCATGAACAAATTACTTGAGACTGGTACATGAAATATTTTCAGCATTATGAGGAACAGACCCTACGGATGAGCTTACACAGGCACTGATTACTGCAAAGAGGAGTCAAGAAAGTGTATTTAGCTTACAAACTATTAACAGCCTGTTTTACCCTACTTTTGTGCTATGGAAACAACAAAGGGGAAAACAATCTTCCATCATTTGGGCCATATTTTCAACAATAATATCATATAATAGACTCTTCCAGAAGGCTGTTTCAATAATGTTTTATTTTTCCT
Organism: Homo sapiens; assembly: GCF_000001405.40. Classification (NCBI taxonomy): domain Eukaryota; kingdom Metazoa; phylum Chordata; class Mammalia; order Primates; family Hominidae; genus Homo; species Homo sapiens. The sequence continues at coordinate 94,403,993 of NC_000007.14, forward strand.
TCACCCCTCATTACATCCACTTTTGTTTGACATTTTCATCAGTCACCAATAACCCTTAGAGGAGCGATAAGGTTATAACAAACTTCTCTCTAATCATTAAGAAGGACTTTTGATTCTTTTCAATTTATGTCCTTTGTGGCAATAAAAATACCAATTTCTTAGCTAAATATGACATAGGAAGATGACATATGATCAAAGATATCCAAATGGACATGCTTCATCTGCTGTATAGAAGACAATTGTATATTCTGCACTTCTGCAAAGACTGATTCACTTCATTGCATCAGAACAATCTCAATATGCCCAATTGTGCACAACTTTAAGGAACCTATCTGCCCCGTCTAATTCTCATTGATTTCTGTTGATAAGGATTGGGAGAAAAGGAAAAGCAAAGGGAGAGAACTAGTGCAGGAAGTTTGAGTCCTTAAATTCTTCCTTGGGAGGAATAAAAACTATGGAATCAAACCACAACAATGGCACTGCTAAGTTGGTCATATCTGACCCCAGCCAACACCATGACAACTTATCAGTGCTAACTGTTGATATATCTGCTTTCTTTACAGGGCTTAATGGGACCTAGAGGCCCACCTGGTGCAGCTGGAGCCCCAGTAAGTACTGAAAGCTTGTAATGCCTCTTATGTAAAAAGACAGAGAATTAAGAAATAAAGGCTTGGAGTATGACATTCTTTTTTTCTTTTAGGGCCCTCAAGGTTTCCAAGGACCTGCTGGTGAGCCTGGTGAACCTGGTCAAACTGTGAGTACATTTTTCCACCTTTGTGATAAGTTTTTTTCCAGGAAGTTTATGAATATAACCTTAGTGAAATGATGGGTCTCCCATTTTCTTAGGGTCCTGCAGGTGCTCGTGGTCCAGCTGGCCCTCCTGGCAAGGCTGGTGAAGATGTAAGTATTTACTCTTAAGCACTTTCAAAATGCTATTTAAATACTCTTGCCTCAACAAGATTTTCTAGATTCAAATTAAGTATTCTGCCAAAAGCTGAATATGCCTGACAGAACTCTTAATGTATGGGAAATATTATTTTAATGAAATATTAACTAACCTACTTGTATTAAGGGAAAGATTAAATATATATCTGGATCCATATTTTTATGTGATAACTTTCTCCCCTTTTGTAAAAACCAAGATTCCCCCATTTTGTCTGATAGTTTACCAAGAAGAAGTTGACTCTACAATGTTTTCATGTTTAGGGTCACCCTGGAAAACCCGGACGACCTGGTGAGAGAGGAGTTGTTGGACCACAGGTGAGACTTTTTACATTGGTAGATAGCACAAACATCATAGGCCTATAAGATAGTTGCTAAAACTAGCATCAATCTAAATGACAACATAGATGTCACCCAAACTCATAACATGAATCGAAGGCATCTAATAAAGAAAAAAGCCTAGTTAAAAAAAAATGCATATACATTTTATTCATGCAAATAATGGAATATAAATGACAGCAAGCATACCATAAGCAACTAAATTGTGTTTTCTACAAATACCGTATTATTAGTTACTCACATTAGAGCAAGTTAATTTGTCACTCTGTGCTTAGAGGTATACTAGACTTTGGTTCAAAGCTTGAACTTTGATGAGAATAAATACTTTGGAGGGAAGAAGTCACTGTCTTTTTATTTATGGTAAAACATTATTCACCATCTTCTGTATTTCTTTCTAAGGGTGCTCGTGGTTTCCCTGGAACTCCTGGACTTCCTGGCTTCAAAGGCATTAGGGTGAGCACATTCTTTACTCAGAAGAGAGAAAATGCCTATTAATTTTTGGAAAAAACTCAAGTATGTTTAAAATCTTGGGTGACATATACTCACTTTCAAATCCCTGGAGTTTGCCAAAGGGAAGAAAGAGTTAAAGAGTCAGATTTCTTGAAAGTAAAGTGGGGTGCAATTTTTTCAGTCTGTTCATAGCTACCAAAAAACAGGCTCACTACAGAGAAAATTATATAGAACATGTATTACTTATTGAGTATTTACAACCGTCTGAAAATCATAAAATTATTAAGGATGGAAAAGATGTGAGAGAACACCTAGTCCTCCATCCTTCTCTCTCAATGGCAAGAAAGTTAAGTGACCTATCTAGGGCAATAGACTGAGTTTGCTGGGACCTGGAACACTGGACTTCTTTCTACTGCAGCAGACAAGACTTACCCAAGAGAGATTAATGGCAAAGATATACAATACAATTTTTATTTGACCAAACACTATCATGGAACAGCATTTTATAATAAGGCTTTCCTTTCAGGGACACAATGGTCTGGATGGATTGAAGGGACAGCCCGGTGCTCCTGGTGTGAAGGTAAATATTAAATTAGAAGCACTGTTTTTAAGCACTTGATTGAAATTCCCCATGACCTCCAAAAAAGTATATTATACTGAAGACTACCCATATTACAAAAAGTATTTTTATTTTTTTTCTTTCCTGTACTTCAAATCCCTCAAGGATGGGGACTATGAGAGTCTGTGAAAAAAGGTCAATTATTAATATTTATTAAAATTCAATATCTATTAAACAATTGAGATAAAAATAATATTAATAGTTTCTTGTTCCATTTCCTTTCCTCCCTCTATAATTCCAGTGTATCTCTGCAGCCAAAATAAAAGTAAATAAACATATAATCAGAGATTACGACACTCTGTATTATTTTAAACTGTAAATTCTCCTTTGCCACACACTAATTAGATAGGTACATTCATGTCGCTATACACTTTTCAACCTCTTTCCTGTGATTTATCTGTGCACACTCAAAAAAATTTTAATTAGGTAATTAAAGTCTCAGAAGTGTGTTATCTCTTGGCTAGGCTCTTCTCTGACAGCGTTTTCAACTATAAAATGTTCTCTTTCCTATTAAGGAGATAATGTGATATTAAAGTGAATACCAACGTAATTACAAATTAATGAGTAACGAATACTAGCGGGACCAGAAATGAACATGAATATGGAGAATCTATTCTAACTTTCCAGCTGCCACACAAATGGATAAGGTCAAACTCATTCTCCCAAGAGCCCGATATAACAGCTCAGACTACTAATCACTGTATCATAAAATGTTAGAGCTGCAAGGAGCTTTGGAGACCCCCTCATTTTGCAGAGGTGGGAAACTGAGGCTTCGTGAGAGCAATTGACTTGCCCAAAGTCACACATCTAGAGGTTAGAAAGTCATAGGCTAGAAATGATCCCCCCTTGCCACTTCAATGCTTATTCCCAAAGAATAGACTTCACATAGAATCCTGGAAATTAAGGGTCCTTATGAGGTCTCTTAAACCATATTTCCCCTATATCTAAATCAGATTATCTTTAAAAAAAGTTCTTTTACATGTGCCATAGTATTAAATCCCACTACTACTACTACTACTACCCTGGTTTTTACTCAGGATAAGAATATAGATTGGAAATAAATATGATGGCTCTAAAAAATACCATGAAGCTTCAATTTTTCATGCACATTTTATGAAAGTGATAACACTGAGTGTTCAAAATAACTTTAAAAAGGATAAATATGGTTACATTGAAAGCAAATTTATCCTTTGCCATCTCTTTTTATGATATTGTTTCTAGTATATAATTGATATCCTGAATCTAAGGGAGAAATTGGGGAGGAGGTACACTCAAATAACCACATCTCCTTAGAACCTGGATATGTGGTACTATCTGAATAAAAACTCATGTTAGCACATTTTAAAATCTGTGTGTCTGGCATAATTGAAAAACAATCTATATGTGTAAGAAATATTATGAAGTATATGAATGGTTCAAAGTAAAAAAAATAGAGTAAAATTGCACTATCAGGAAAAATAATTGTTATATTTAATGAACAAAAACTCAATCCTTCTCCATGTAGGGTGAACCTGGTGCCCCTGGTGAAAATGGAACTCCAGGTCAAACAGTAAGTATTGACTACTTCATTGTAAATTTAAATGTGTACACTCTTTATGAGATGGAACTTCTTTAATGTTTTTGCTAATCACTGTATCCTTCAGCATTGTATTCTTTGATGTTTTTCTAATAGCCTTCTGATACTTAATTGAAATCCACTACTGTTTAGTTGGAATTAGAAGGCAACTTATTTATTTTTAGTGTATTCTTGTACAGGTTGGAAACTGAACAAAGCAAATGATGCCTGTGACTTTTTTTAAATTAGCATTCTGGATTTTATTGAAAATATTTCTGCTTCTAGGGAGCCCGTGGGCTTCCTGGTGAGAGAGGACGTGTTGGTGCCCCTGGCCCAGCTGTAAGTGCTTCCATTTTTGTTCAGTTTCATCCTTTTAAAAAATCTTCTAATGGCTGTCATTTAAGTTTCCACCTGATCTTCCCTTTATTTTCTTCTTAGGGTGCCCGTGGCAGTGATGGAAGTGTGGGTCCCGTGGGTCCTGCTGTAAGTTTTGACACTGGGGAGTTTGAAAGGAGTTGAGAATGTGGGGTGGGTGCTGTCTTCTTCATTAATCTCTTACGAAATAGCATCATTTCAGACACTTTACCAAATGTTCTGTGAGGTCTTTTGAAGGCTCCATTTATAAGTAGTGTAAGCCATTTATAAGTACCTGAACTTTTGATTGATGTATAAAGCAAAATATCCCCACCCTGGATACCATGAATGTCTTGCCTTTGATGAGATCCTAACGACAACAGACTGGTTGTCAGTTTTTTTCTTTACTAATATAAACAGTGTCATGCCACTGTAAGCAACTTCAATCTTCTGCCATTGTTATTGTTTTCTTAATTTACTTGGAGGAAATTTCTTACCACCTTCTGCTTTGATTTCAGGGTCCCATTGGGTCTGCTGGCCCTCCAGGCTTCCCAGGTGCCCCTGGCCCCAAGGTAAAAACACTGGTGACCATTGTCACTACTTTGATAAACTTTTTACTGTGATGTGAAAGATTGGAACTGTGTTTGCAGATAAAGAGATAATTACGAAACAGTTACCTTAATTATTCCTTCCCTTCAAAATGGACATAGAATGACCAGTTTTCTCACTCTACATTTGAAATAGATCATTTCTCTGCACTGTGCACTGTGCCCATCGATATAGATGACAACATGGAAATTGTCTCTAGGACTAGTTAGTTAGGACTGACTGAGAACCAGAGTCAACCACAGAGAGACAGAAGGAGAGGGAAGGTAGTAACAGTAGCCAAGATGGCAGAATCAAGCAAGGAAAATAGGAAACCAAACTCAAATCTTGTAATAAAACGGATAAGAAAAATAATTGCAATTTTGAAGTTTTATGAAGACATTTCATAAAACTTGGCATCTTAAAAACAGATATGCTGTTTCATTATTTGCTGGTTAATTCCTTGGTTTAATTTCCTCTTTTAGGGTGAAATTGGAGCTGTTGGTAACGCTGGTCCTGCTGGTCCCGCCGGTCCCCGTGGTGAAGTGGGTCTTCCAGGCCTCTCCGGCCCCGTTGGACCTCCTGTAAGTAGCCACTGTCTTTAAACTTTATTGAGTAAAAGAAAACAAAGGTGGAGTATGGGGAAGAAGAAGAATGAAGATGGGGTCAAAGAAGAACCGAAATATTCCAATTAACTGATATCCTTCTCCTTTCCTTTTCCTCATAGGGTAATCCTGGAGCAAACGGCCTTACTGGTGCCAAGGGTGCTGCTGTGAGTATACCTGCGTAGCTAAAATGTGCTGCTATGATTTTAAAGGCATTTAATGTGTGCTGCCTCTACAGCCCATCACCTCCCTAATGGACCACACTGCATTTTCCTTCACAGGGCCTTCCCGGCGTTGCTGGGGCTCCCGGCCTCCCTGGACCCCGCGGTATTCCTGGCCCTGTTGGTGCTGCCGGTGCTACTGGTGCCAGAGGACTTGTTGTAAGTGGTCATGACTGTGGTTCTCATCATCCTGAAATACCACCTCTGCCATCATTTCATCACTATCTAGACTTCCACTTGTAGTTTTATTATTCCTATTTTTCTCTTCCTTAGCATTTTTAGTTTATATTTCTTATATATATATGTACACTCCCGTCTGCTATATGCACACAGACATGCCCTTCCTGTTATCTTAAATCATTACCTCAAGGTAAATGAGGCAAAGTTCTACAATATCAGTTTTGTCCCTTCGACCAATAATACCATTCCCCTGTACTCAATTTAAATATGAACAGGGTACATTTCCTAGAGAACTTGAGCTTCTCTTTACCTTGACCCACAAATATTCTAAGAGATTTGTCTGCAAGAGAGTTTCAACAAATGTTTGTCCTTTGACCACTGTTCTGTATTGAACCCTAGGGTGAGCCTGGTCCAGCTGGCTCCAAAGGAGAGAGCGGTAACAAGGGTGAGCCCGTAAGTAGCTCTATCATCACACTTTTATAAAGTTAATTGTTTTTCTCATTCCAGTTTCTCCAGCTGGACATAGTATTAAAATTATTTTTTTACTCCCTCTTCTTTTGTTCTTTTCATTAAACAGGGCTCTGCTGGGCCCCAAGGTCCTCCTGGTCCCAGTGGTGAAGAAGGAAAGAGAGGCCCTAATGGGGAAGCTGGATCTGCCGGCCCTCCAGGACCTCCTGGGCTGAGAGTAGGTTTCAAATGCTCCCAACACCCTAACACACCAGAGGCAGATTATGATACCCCTTCACTGGGAATTGGTCAAAATTACTGACTGTGTTTTCTTAGGCAAAAAAAGCATCTGCTTTCCATCTGCCTTATTAAATCAGTGACTCTCAATTTAATATGTTATAAAATTGGCCTGGAAACAATGTTGACCTACTTTTGCAGGATGCTCATCTATGAATTCCTCTAGGGGTTGGGTGAAGTGTTTTGGCTTGGTTTGTGTCTGTATCTCCCCTGTAAGGAGATCATGCTATTTTTTACAAACTCTACCTTATCAAAGCCAAGAGATTTCTTTAATTCTCTCTATTTCATGTACTTTCTTGCAGGGTAGTCCTGGTTCTCGTGGTCTTCCTGGAGCTGATGGCAGAGCTGGCGTCATGGTAAGCTGTCTATCACTTACTTCCTAGAAAGGGGCTTGCTGCTTCTGGTGGTGGGTGTGTCATTAGCTTTAGCATCCTCCTCCTCTATCTGTTTTTTTTTTTTTTTTGAATAGGGCCCTCCTGGTAGTCGTGGTGCAAGTGGCCCTGCTGGAGTCCGAGGACCTAATGGAGATGCTGGTCGCCCTGGGGAGCCTGGTCTCATGGGACCCAGAGTAAGTTTCAAACTGATTCTGAGCAAATCACACCTGGCATTACTTCCTTCTTTAAAGGGTTGGTTAATATTGAAGATAACAATAAAAACATCAAAAGTAAATTTGTTAGTAGTCTTGCTGACAGTTGCATTTTTGACTTTATCAAAGCTCAGTAGATATTTTCATGCATTTAATTAGTTCATAAATTTTCTATTTATTACTTGATACAATGGCTATGAGGTTTTTGGAAGAATAGATCTATTTTAATATATCCAAATTAGATTGGTCCTCCTATCAGCATGAATCTTTTATCTTAATTTGTGAGTTTTATATAAGGTGTTCATGAAATATATTAGGACTATACATTTTTGGTTTATTAGATTCATAAGTGAAGTCTTTTTCCTAGCAATCACAAAGTGCTGTAATGTATTCAGCATCACACTAGCTATGGAGAAATAACCTCTAGGTCCATAGACACACTAATCCATAGCAATAGAGTAATTTTTTTGCCTCCATTGCCTCTTATGGGTGAATATCAACTGTAATTGTACCATAAACAAGTAATAGGGACACCAAATATAGCAATAAGAAATCCACTTTGGAAATTGTTTACTAAAAGTATTAGTTTTTCTATTATGAGGTAAATAACGTGATACATTTTGCCCATATACATGTTGCTTAACAGTTTCTTGAGATATCTATAAAAGGATGAGTTGCACTAAATTTCAATAAAAGGAAAGCCACAAAAAAATAGAAGAAAAATTTCAGAACTCTTTTCACACTTCCCAGCTAGTGGCTAATATTCCTAATGATTTACCCTAGGCAACAAACAAAAAGTCGGGGGAAAAGGTGCCTTTGTTAGACTTCAGTTAATCTAAGGCTTGAGTATGTAAGTTAAAGTGCCAATATAAAAACATCCTCATTTATTTTATAGGGTCTTCCTGGTTCCCCTGGAAATATCGGCCCCGCTGGAAAAGAAGGTCCTGTCGTAAGTATTGCTCATTTTCCATTATATTTTCAAGGACACTTATTGCACCCTTATCAAGTCTATTTTGTGGCTTATTTATACATGAACACATTGAAAATAAATATCAGACACATACATCATCTGGGAATGCAGAGTAATAGATTGTAATTATGGAGTCCAAATGAATACAGGACTGAAAGCAGAGCAGGGGAGAGAAAAACATGGCAGGGAAAATTGAAGCAGGTGACAAGGGGATGCAAGAGAAGGGAATGAGGGAAATTGCATACATACGAGATTGAATTGGCTATGTGTGTACTGACATCCTAGTTAGAAAAGGAAAATGGATTCATAATTTATTAACGCTTTATACAAGAAGCTCTATGCATTCAGAAAACTATTCTGTTTCATCCGTGGCAGCATCATAAGCTTGAGGTTGTGAGAATATGTTGACACTGAGTAAACTTGAAATAACTCTGCTTTCAGGGCCTCCCTGGCATCGACGGCAGGCCTGGCCCAATTGGCCCAGCTGGAGCAAGAGGAGAGCCTGGCAACATTGGATTCCCTGGACCCAAAGGCCCCACTGTAAGAATCACCACAACTTTCTTACCCTCAGCACTTTCTGTAGCCAAATTTTACCAAACTCTAGTATTTATCTCCTGCGAATCAGTCCAGTCTCAGGGAGTTTCCTTTCAACACAGGAAAACTGCAGGCCACTTATCACATTAAAAGTTTACCTCTAGTGTATCCTTATATCCCTGCTAAAAATCCATCTCCTGAGCCCCATGCTTCCACAGACACAGGGACATCTTACTGTACATGGAGCTGCATGGTGATGGATCATCCTTAGATAACAGAAACCACAGACTAGGGATCTCAAAAGAACACAAAAACAAGCAGGATTCAACATTGCAAAATCACCGTGGTTAATTTGACATTAAATGTGCAAAGCTGTTCTTTGTTTTGTTTTTCATTTTTACTCTAGGGTGATCCTGGCAAAAACGGTGATAAAGGTCATGCTGGTCTTGCTGGTGCTCGGGTAGGTGCTAACTTGTGTACAGATCTATTCACATAGCATTCATCTAAGAACCACACTTTTTTTTTTACACCATCTGATATCATTTTGTCACTTTCTTTTCAAGATGGCATCCCCAGGGGTCCTTTTACTATCATAAAATGCCTTTTTAAAAACCAAACTTATAAAACAGTGAGCAAAAACAAATCAGAATATACATTAGGTCAAAAATACAGAAGCACTTGGCTTTTATTTTATTCATTTTGTAATTAAAAGGGTATGAATATGTAGTAGCATTCTCTGGCCTTTATAAATTGCCTTGTGTCGCATACTTCGCTTGAGTCATATCAAAAGTTAGTAGGCAAACCCATAAATATATATACCTACTATGTACCCACACAAATTAAAAATTTAAAAAGTTAGTAGGCAGTATTTGGGCTTTCGTGGGAACCCACAATGAGTTTAATTCATGCTAAAATGACAAACTTGTTTTAAGGAAGTAATACCTGAGGCTTTGAGACATCTTAAACTACCTGGCTTGCAGCTAACCATCAGCCTTTCTGTTAAATATTTTTAGGGTGCTCCAGGTCCTGATGGAAACAATGGTGCTCAGGGACCTCCTGGACCACAGGTGAGTATTTCTCCCACTCTTGTGCTCTTCTGCACTAGAATGTATATAGTCCTCAAACTGGCCATCTCCATTTTCAGTCCAAAAGTTATACAGCTAGACAACAGTGGTGACATACGTTGCTATTTATGCTCTCTTTCCTGTCACTTTCAGGGTGTTCAAGGTGGAAAAGGTGAACAGGGTCCCCCTGGTCCTCCAGGCTTCCAGGTAAGTCAACTCAAACATATACAATACTGCCTTTGGTCAGCCTATTGAGCTGTAAATCACCATACCGTACCTCTCTTCTCCACCACAATAAACATGATTTCAGGACTGAAGCAAAGAAAGGTGCATTTTTTTCAAACAAACTTTTGTGTAATGCTTAATAACATACAATCGTGCTCATGTTGATATTTGGTAGCCACCACCCCCAAACTCAATTATTAGCAAATCTCCTGAACGTAGCCATGGGATTGAGATTTGTATTTCTTTTCATTTTTAGGGTCTGCCTGGCCCCTCAGGTCCCGCTGGTGAAGTTGGCAAACCAGGAGAAAGGGTGAGTAAAACAAGTAATAGTAAGTAGTAACTACTAAACTTGAGAATTTCCCCCTGTTTAATACCCCACTGCTATGCAATTATAATATGTAAAAGAAAATTTCGTATTTCATATGTTAATGATAGTGTTTTACATACTTTGGTGCTGATGGAGAGAATGAGCCAAATTACTTTAGTTCTGATTACTTTGTTTTACAGATTTAATGAAACATCACCTTATGAAAGTAAAATCTATCAATGAATATTTTATTTAATAGCCTTACTTTTTGTATTGTTCTTGATAACGTTAAGATACAAATTATTTCCTTCCCCATAGTGAAAAAGTAAATGCACAATTTTCAATCAAACTAGATCCCGAAAAATTCCTTTTGTGTTTTTCTTGGCATTCAGACATGACACTACTATACACAATCAGGGCATGAGTTCTGAGTCATTTTCTCTCTAATTGTGATGAATGTGCCCCTATTTAGTTACATTCTGTGGCCTGGTCTCCTTTGTCAACAGTAGGACATATTAAGGAGACAGCTGGTCAGTAATAAAAGAGATACACTTGGGTATACAATTAACTAGGCAATGTACAGAATATGATAATTTCTCTTAAGAAGACGATCTGTTATACAGCTAAAAATAGGCAATGTCTAATATTCATTATTATTTATCTTATTATTGAAGGAAATAGTCTGTCACTTTTTAAAAAGCAATAAACTAAATAATGGGAAACAAATTTTTTGATACCAAGTTCTGGGATGGATACATTTTTGTCACCAATAAAATTCTCTCTTTCTGTATCTTTCCATACTAAAAGTTGTTCTTATTAGCCTGTGTACTTATGCACTCATGTAGATACTGCCAGGTTTATTTCACTCTTTCCAAATTTTTCAAATATTTTAATCATAAGTGAATTTAGAGATCACACACAGATTTCATGCTTTATTCTCATGTTTTGTCTAGGGTCTCCATGGTGAGTTTGGTCTCCCTGGTCCTGCTGGTCCAAGAGTAAGTGTTACTTCATTAACTTTCATAAACTCTGGCAATGTGTTTTTAAAAGTAGTAGTGCTTTCTCCTTAAAGCCACTGATGACCCTGCAACAAGTCTCTGATGCTCTTCTATAGTCAAATGTAATCTGTAGAAAGCATTAGATTTCTAAGTTGATAGTAGAATTTTTTGTTTCATTGCTCATATTTCCTATTCAATAATTACATAGTTATAAGAAACACATAAATCAATATATATTATAGTCAGTGATTTATATAGACAACTATGCTACATTTGTGACAGTGGCTCAACTTGAGCTAAGGAAAAATAATATGTTACTAAGATATAAAGTTAATTTTGGCCATGTGTGTTGATGTTCAAAGCCTAAAGCCGAACTTATGAGTAGTCATATAAAGAAAAAAAAACTTAGTTTCTCTATGGGTATTAGCATCACTGAAATGATTAATTTGCCCTGAAAGTATTCCATCATGTCACTAGTTAACACATATGTAGGAAGCTCAAAGAACCAACTTATAACAAGGTCCTTTGAAACAGTTACAACGTGGACCTATGTGATAAATATTTTGGGCTATAGAATGCTATGCTCTAGTGATATTTAGATGTAAATTGGGAGATATTTAGATAGACAGACATATATATATATACACAAATACATATATCAAATATACATATGAATATTGTAACTGTTATATCATTATTACACAGGGTTATAAAAAGGGGGCATAGATAGGAGAATATCTAATGTTATCTACACCTGCCATTGCTATTCAACTAAAATGACACAATCTTTTCTTTGAATACTACACATAACTGGCATCTGTTTTTACCTATGGATTTATCACAGAAAAGACTCCTCAAAGAAGGGGAATGAATTGCAAAAATTGAATATTATACTCTAGAAGCAACGAATTCTGGAGTCGTAGTCATGGAACATTAGAGCTAAGTGACACTTTAGAGAATATCTCATCAATCTCTTCATTTTACTAGTGGAGAGATTAGGAACAAAAGAAATTTTAATTTGCTAATAAATGCAAACCAGGGCTCGGAAGCTACACAAATGTAAACTCTCATATGTAAAACAGTATCACTGAAAGTGATGAATGGTGCAACACTTCTTCTAATCACTTTTTTCAGGGGGAACGCGGTCCCCCAGGTGAGAGTGGTGCTGCCGGTCCTACTGGTCCTATTGGAAGCCGAGGTCCTTCTGGACCCCCAGGGCCTGATGGAAACAAGGTAAAATCTTATGTTTTCTATATTGCTGGTTTGGCCCAGTCTGCCTGGAATAAGTAGACCCTTTACAATAGAAAGATAATTGTTTTTCAGATTTTTATTTATTTCCAGTTCTGTGATGACTTCCCTCTCAGTAAACAGCAATCCGATTCCAGTGGACCTGAATTATTCTAAACAAACAAACAATAGCAACAAACTGTGGGGGAAAATTCAGAGTTCCCAAAACATAAATGAATTAGTATGGGTTGTCACTCTTTTCTCCTCACGCTGTTTATGCTTTTGTTTTAATCTAGAAACATTGTATTCATTGGACATTATTTTCAGAGAAAATAACTTTTTATCTTAACATCTCATCCCATAGAGTAAAATTTCAACAAGTAGTCTGACTTTTAATAATAAGAGTTTATGATGATGAAAATTCATTGGGCAATACATTCACCCCCAAAAATTTGTCTGGAAACTTGTGTTCCAAAATAGAATCTGTGGTTTAGATTTTAAAATAGATTTAATATACATTCCTGAAAAAGAGATTACCTTAACCACAATAAAAAGAAGACAACACATATTATTTTCATTCTTAACTCTAGGGGAAAAAATGTAAACATTAGTTGCAAAAAGCTATTTTAGTGTATGGAAGGATGTTCTTGGGAAAAAAATAAAAACATAAAAGGGAGAGAGGAAATAAAGAAACCACGGTTTTGTGAGGTAGTACTTTCAAAGGGATCTATGTATCTCAGAAGCTAGTCAACAGGTTTTAAGTATGTGGAATTGTAGGGTTTTATATAAAAATGGAAGATACAGTCTCTACTCTTAAGGAGATTAAAACACAAACATCTCCTCAATTGACAAGGTCTCTTTCCATGCTTTCTATCTGGGCTAAGAGACTTATCCTTGAAAAATGTTTGTGGGTAAACATTTTTTACTCTCTGCTTCCCATTGTCCTATCCTCTTCTCCATGCCTGCCATCCTTAAGAGGACTGAAGCAGGTTATAGAGGAATCGCAGCTGTGCACTCCCACTACCCTCATCTCTTCAGTCACCATGTCATTAACAGCATCTCTCTCTGCTATATTCTCCCTCCTTTCAATAGCCCAGCCTTCTTTGTGTTTCAAAGCAGGCAAGAAGCCTGTCTAGCTAGCTGTTTAAATTGGAATTCTTCTAGAGTTTGATTCTTCATTTTCTTCTTTCTCCACTAAAATTGATTTCACATGTGTTTGACTCAAGGGTGAACCTGGTGTGGTTGGTGCTGTGGGCACTGCTGGTCCATCTGGTCCTAGTGGACTCCCAGGAGAGAGGGGTGCTGCTGGCATACCTGGAGGCAAGGGAGAAAAGGTACGTGTTGACCCCTATTACATATTGTTGATGAACTCTAGTAAAGAAGGCTGCACAAGGATGCCCAAGTTTTCACAATTCTTGGCAGGTGGTCTGGTAGCATTTTCATATCTATCTATATACATTTCCCTCTGCCACCTAGCACCTACACATTTCTAAACTCACTAATCTGGCAAAATTCCTTGCTACCATGGAATTTCACACAAACAGATGGTGTTGAGTAATACATGAGGCTCATTTTAATGCCACTAACAATAATGCCTCATCCTGTCCTAATTAATGGGAAGAAGCTACATTGAACAGCTGTCAACCATGCTGCTGCATTAGTTATGCCGTAAGAGTGATCAGGCGCTGCAGCCCATTGTGATGTTGCCTTACAATTCTGTCCACATGAATCTGTACCTTGCTTGATTATGCTTCAGGAGAGTGTACGGAAATTAGAAAAGATTGTTTAACAATAATCTGGAAATGGCCTTGAATTATTTTTTCCTCATTATTTTTCTCGATTAACATTCTACAGAATGGTAAGGAATCGAGACATTGCTAAAAATCTTAAATGACTGAAGGTATCATAGCATCTTCTGTAAAAAAGAAAAAAACTTCATATTAATTTCGATTCAAAATTTTGGTCAGAAAACAAAAAGTTGCTCTTGCTTTATACTTTCAGGGTGAACCTGGTCTCAGAGGTGAAATTGGTAACCCTGGCAGAGATGGTGCTCGTGTGAGTAGAATTTTGTTTGTATGTTTCTTCGTACTTGGATTTTTTTTTTATGTTTGAATTGAGAAGTTTTCCAAATTAGAACTACACACACTTTATTTATCAAGTTTAATAAAATAATATTCCTTTCTCTCCTGGGTCTATGACTAATAATATCATTTTACATGTTCCAAAGGAAAAATTAAATGGGATTTAACCTCTTTGAAAATAATATCCTGAATTTTCTAACTTCCCTAGTGTCAATGATACCAACTACAAACTATAGACCAAAAGCTTTAGGTTTAATAGAATATTAAATGATTGCTTCAAGTGATAACAGAGATTAAAATAAATAAATAAATAAGTCTCCTATGCTTTAGGAAGCCGGGACCTCTAACAAGATTCTATAGTTATTCAAACCTACTCCCTAGAAATTTATCACCCAAAGAGCAGCCCCAAAGATTAGCTGTTAATGCCATGAAGATGCCAAAGATAATCCCATGACAGTCTAATTACCTTATCTCGTATGTCAGCCTCATGGGTCTTCTAGGCCACAGTCGGCCTGGATTCCTTTATTCACCTCTCCTTCAGAGCTGAAAACTGACTGTAGCACATCTGTAATAGTCTTTCTTTTGAATCACGTAGTTCTAACAGTTTCAAACAAGGCTACTCATTTGCTGCTCTCCAGGGAATTTTACAATAGCGGAAAGTTCAGATCTCCCAAATTTCTGACCTGCTATTGACTTACACATTTCCATAACCTTTATTACTGGAGTACCCTCCTTCTGAGAGTGGCTTCTAATAGTCTTGTTAATTAGAACCAAAATACATCAGAGGCCTTCTAGATATCCAACCAGAGTGCAGTGAAAGTGTTCAGTCACTGTATAAGCACAGAAAAAAAGAATGACAAGGTTCACTTTTGATGATACGGGGTGTTATTAATAAGACATGTTTCCTTTTTGGTACTAGGGTGCTCCTGGTGCTGTAGGTGCCCCTGGTCCTGCTGGAGCCACAGGTGACCGGGTAAGCATGCATTTTCACTAAGCCAACAGCAATATCTAAAATTTCCCGCCTTCCCTAGTCCCAAAGAGCCCCAGCAATTCATTTTTATGGCTTGGTATAAAGCCTACTTATTTAAAAACCTAGCTATTGTGATAGAGCAGCAGGAAACAAATGCTGTGTGTTTAAAATTACTTTTCCCTTCCTATAGATTTGCCAGCTATCTGATCTATACTCTAATCCCTAGCATTTGTTTTAAAGTCTCTCCATGTTGCGCATTAACAATATCCTAATGCACTGAGGCTTCTCAAAGCCTTCAATTATTACCAAAAAATCAATAAAATACATAGTGTGCCCATTTCACATTGAACTCTCCACTTAAAATAGATCTTATTTATTGTATTGCAAAGATTGCCACAAATAGATCAGCCCCGTGTCCATCTAAAAATTAAAATGTCCTCCTCCTGGTATTGTAGGCACTGATTTATAGTGTTTTCTCAAGTGTATAACCCATACTACTTAACCCCCAAAATGAATATAGCATTAAGTAAAAATCCACTTCATTTTACTCTGTGAGATGTGCGTCAGTTATCTCTTCCAAGGCAACTACAGACTCTGTCTGTCCACCACTGTTCTCTCTCCCTCCCAGTTCTTTGAGCATCTATGTCAGGCACATTAACAGATTCATCTTTGGTCCCATTATAGGGCGAAGCTGGGGCTGCTGGTCCTGCTGGTCCTGCTGGTCCTCGGGGAAGCCCTGTAAGTAAGAACCTGGGTCATTTTGTATACTCACACCTCACAATGTTTAGACATTGATGAACCTAGGATTGATAACACATTTTTAAATCCCTTCTCCCACCTAGGGTGAACGTGGTGAGGTCGGTCCTGCTGGCCCCAATGGATTTGCTGGTCCTGCTGTGAGTATCACATAATGAAGATTAATCTGAAAACATCCTAAGTTGGGGAGTAGAGTGGGTCGGAATACCAGAGCTGTAACTGTTTATTTCCAACAGGGTGCTGCTGGTCAACCTGGTGCTAAAGGAGAAAGAGGAGCCAAAGGGCCTAAGGGTGAAAACGGTGTTGTTGGTCCCACAGGCCCCGTTGGAGCTGCTGGCCCAGCTGTAAGTTGAATTCACTGGTGGTCCACACAGCAGCTACCCATTAGATCTTCCAATTAAATATATATCCGTCAAGTGCCTGCTATGCAACAGGGAATATACCAGATAGAAGATGGAAAATAACGGAAGGATTAACATTTGCACACTGCTTTACAAAGTATAAAAGTTTCATGAATATTGTTTTATTTTAATTCTCTGATAACCTCATAAGGGTGGTAATATTGAAGAACATTCTGACACAGATAGTCATTTTTTATTTCTATATTTTCTTCTAAGAGATGCGGGAATGATCCACTTGAAGAAAAGAGTAGCATTTACAAGGGTTTGTTTGTGATTTGACTCCATCTTTTTGTTTGCATTTAGGGTCCAAATGGTCCCCCCGGTCCTGCTGGAAGTCGTGGTGATGGAGGCCCCCCTGTGAGTATTTACAATGGACTCTCGCCGCTTTTCTTTTTTCAGAATCTATTAAGGACACTTGAAAGTTTTGAAATTTTTGGTAAATTTGGACTACCATGAGGAAACTTTTGAGATTCAAGTTCATTCTATTCAGAGCAATTCCGATATTGATGTTAACTTGAACTCAGCTGGAACTCAGTGTATGTTGCTATCAGCTCACTTGAGGTAATAACCAAGGTGGGCCCTAGGCAGTTTAATTGTAAAGTCGGAAAAAATATTCCTTTTGGCGTTTATTAATATGCCCCTTCTTCTGCCTGACCATGTCCTTCTCCTTTGCAGGCAATGCTATCACAACAATTCTCTAGAGACCCAGAGCTCCCCAAAAATGAACTTTACTGACTTCTTCTCTCACTGGACAGTGCTGAATTATCTAGGTCATTTGTTATTCTTTTGTCCATGAACACCATTACCTATTAAGTGTCCATTTCCTTACCACTCAGCCAGGTGGTAAAGATAGTTATTAATGTATACACATTAATGTGTAATAATGACATAGTGTCTTATCTTCATACCTTTACAACCATAAGATAATATGTCAGCATTTCAGAAAGGACCATCCAAACCTTAACGCAAAATATGGGCATTGCAACTGGTAATATGCTGGTAAGGAAGATGTGTGGAGAAGGAGGGCCTTCAGGGTCCTGGCTAAATAATGCCCTATATGAAGCTGCCTACCTCCTACTCCTTGGTCTATTCCTGGTCACATGTACTGATTTTCCAAAACAAAGAAATTCCCATCTTACCCAAATTCTTGGAGTTGATGTTGACTGTGGAATTCTAATGTGCTTGGCTCTTAGGGTATGACTGGTTTCCCTGGTGCTGCTGGACGGACTGGTCCCCCAGGACCCTCTGTAAGTAAATCACTGTAAACGTGTCTTCATTTACTCTAGCCAAAAGGCCTGGCTTCTGATAGGAAACTGGTAAGAAACTCTTCATGAAAACACATCACTAATATTCGCTATTACTCTCCTGGTCTGAAGTCAGCTTTTCTGAACCATTAAGGTATTTCATCACAAGTTATATTTTATAATATCAGTTTAAGAGGCTTTTATTCATGTGAACACCAGTCCCCTTTCAGGGGCATGGTCTTTTTGAAAAAAAAAAAACAAAAAAACGAACAGTTTTAGCCACATATCAGATATTTCTATATCTAATTATCCTTTATGGCTAACATTCTGCCTCCATTGTTAAGGTATAATTGTTCCTGAATTTAAAGGTGGTTTGGCCTCTAATTTAATTCTGATTCAGACTCTCCTGTCAGGACTCAAGAAAATTTAATTAATTACCAAGGATTAAGTCTTCTGGTTAAGGTTTCTGGGAAAAAAAAATAGCAAAGATGTTGATTTCTTGGAATCCTTTTACAGGTTCATAACAGAAAAATCTTCATTCCCTGTAGGCATTTAATTAAACCTAGTTGAGAAGTGTGTGGGATTCCTCAATTATGAACAAAACACGTATATTGGCTTTCTTTAAAAAAAAAAAAAAAGAAGAAAAAAGAAAAGGCAAAGTCCTTCGAAACTCAGAGTCCCATTCATTTATCATTAACTCCTATCATTCTACATAGTTCTGATTCCAATATGCCAGGGTACCAGTGGCATGACATTGTTTTTCCTCATAGAAATTTGCCATAGTCTCTCCTCCATTATTTGGTTGGTTACAGCCTCATAAAGGAAGACAGGAGTTGCTTCTTTCTGCAAGAAAGAAGGTTAAAAACTATAAATATTTCCCCCAAATGGCCAGGGTATTATTTTATTGCATCACATTGTTTGCATCTTAAGATCTAGAATCTTTGCTGCTCTCTTCCAGGCCCTTGGTGATTAACAGAAAGGAAATGACCTTGTACATTTGCTCATAGGGTATTTCTGGCCCTCCTGGTCCCCCTGGTCCTGCTGGGAAAGAAGGGCTTCGTGGTCCTCGTGGTGACCAAGGTCCAGTTGGCCGAACTGGAGAAGTAGGTGCAGTTGGTCCCCCTGGCTTCGCTGGTGAGAAGGGTCCCTCTGGAGAGGCTGGTACTGCTGTAAGTGATTTCCAACTCCTCTTTCTTAATACCTTATGCTGAATTAAAATAAAGCCCCTACACAAATCTTCAAGTGGCATCTATTTGTTGATGAGTATTGCAGGCTCTCAAGTAGAGCTCAGTTGAGCCAGGAAATCTGTCCAGCACACACTGAGGGGCTGTGGCTTCCAAGATGCTCAGAAAGCACAAAATCGGGAAGACAATAAATGAGGGAACTCAGTTTTATCACAAAGCCCTTAAAGCTATTGAAGGCACCTTACTGGTACCAGGATTAGAACAGAGTCCCATTGCTGTGGCCATCCTACTACATATTAATCAATCTCAGTAGGCTACCAATTTCTTAAACATACACTGTCCAGTATTAGTGCTACTCTGAAAGGTGCCCCTATTAGACCTTAGAGGCCAAAGTCAAAATTTGCTTCCTTTTGATATACTGATTTTACTGATTTCCTTTTTGTTTTTGTTTTTTGTTTTTGTTTTTGTTTTTTTGTTTTGGGATGGAGTTCCCCTCTGTTGCCCAGGCTGGAGTGCAGTGGCACGATCTCAGCTCACTGCGACTTCCGCCTCCCCAGTTTAAGTAATTATCTTGTCTCAGCCTCCCGAGTAGCTGGGACTACAGGCACACACCATCATGCCTAGCTAATTTTTGTATTTTTAGTAAAGACGGGGTTTCACCATATTGGTCAGGCTGGTCTCGATCTCCTGACCTCAGGTGATCCACCCACCTTGACCTCCTAAAGTGCTGGGATTACACATGTGAGCCACCCCACCCAGCCTGATTTCCTTTCCTTTGTGTATATACCCAGCAGTGTGATTGCTGGATCTTATGGTAGTTCTATTTTTAGTTTTTTGAGGAACCCCTCCTACTATGTACAACTATTATGTATCCATAACAATTTAAATTTTTTTATTTGTTTCCCTGCCTAGAGGCTATAAAAACTCTATTTCACCACCCCAAGTGTCTTTATAAATCTCAACCACATATTTTTAAATGTTGTGCCATTGGTCTCAAGGATGAATCAGATACAAAAGTATTCATGCCAAGATGTAAACTCACCGTCATCACTAGAGAAAAGATATCCAAGGATATGTCCTAGTAATAGGAGGTCATTAGCCTTTTTCTAAGCTGAAGACAGTTTATTCTCACAATCTTCAAGCCAACCTGTGTTATCACCTAGGGTCTTACCCATAATACTCAGTATTTTTTCTCTATTTAGGGACCTCCTGGCACTCCAGGTCCTCAGGGTCTTCTTGGTGCTCCTGGTATTCTGGGTCTCCCTGGCTCGAGAGGTGAACGTGGTCTACCAGGTGTTGCTGGTGCTGTGGTGAGTGCTTGACAGTATTCTGACTCCATTAACATAAGAAAAGATTTTAAAAGCTGCCACTTCAAATGTGACAGATTGATCACTGAATAACTTCACTTAAGATTTTTATTCATGGCATTTTCTTTATACAGATCACATGTCACTTATCTAAGAAGCTTTAATACCACCTTACTTAGACACACACTATAAAGACACAGCTTAAAATTATGCAGAATGATTTTTGTTCTTTCCACGCACTTAGGAATGATACAATCTCTAATTGCGTTTACTCCTCTGCAATATGAAATGCTGGCATCATTTATCCTGTAGGAAGAATGAAACTCTGGAAGTTCTGAATCGTTCCATTAAACCTTATACGTGACAACAACTAGAAACCATCTCATCTCCATAAAATATATCAACTTTTTGAATTCATTTCATTTGGGATACTGAATGACACGAGGCTCACTTTTTACAGAGCAACATCCCGTGATTACATAAAGCTGGCCATCTACATGTGGAGAAGGAGGGCAGAGATGATACTAATGATACTTCTTACCATTGTGTGACCCATTCACATTCAATTTACCTTCTTCCTTCAAACTAGAATCTCCTGAGTAGGGTTGTTTTGGAGGGGAAGGTTAGCATTCCATCGAATAAGGGGAATGTCATTTTATCTTCTCTGCCTGTTTAGGGTGAACCTGGTCCTCTTGGCATTGCCGGCCCTCCTGGGGCCCGTGGTCCTCCTGGTGCTGTGGGTAGTCCTGGAGTCAACGGTGCTCCTGGTGAAGCTGGTCGTGATGTGAGTCCAACACTTGGTTTGTAAAATAAAACTGAGCAGGATTTCATTGTGTGAAACTTTATGTCCTGAGCTGAGGTTCTCTTCTTCCAAATTTCTGAACAAGATGGTCAGCTTCTCCATAGTATCTACACCTAGTACTGAAAATATGAAAATTGCTTAGGCCAAAGAATGGGCTTTTCAATAGCACACTGCAAAACTGGGCCCAAGTATTTAAAACATCTCTAAAAAATATCTAGGTTGGCAGGTTTTTATCCCTAGTTTTAACAGTCTGAAAGAGGGTTCGTTACTGAGCACTGGAAGTGATGAAGACAGAGTAGCTACAACATAGGGGCTGGTAGGCAGCAGAGCCTCACCAACAGCCTTAATTTGTGTGGTGTCTTCACAGGGCAACCCTGGGAACGATGGTCCCCCAGGTCGCGATGGTCAACCCGGACACAAGGTCAGTACACTTTTCATCTTTCTCTAATTCAAAAGTGATTAAAATGCAACCCAGATTGATGCTAAGCTTCATTTTGCCTTTGGTAGGGAGAGCGCGGTTACCCTGGCAATATTGGTCCCGTTGGTGCTGCAGGTGCACCTGGTCCTCATGGCCCCGTGGGTCCTGCTGGCAAACATGGAAACCGTGGTGAAACTGTAAGTTTGTGAATACCAGTCCCTCAGTGCAGCATTCTCGTGGGCTTCACTTCTGACTTCCCCACACTTGGGGATGGTGGAGGAGTGGGGAGGGGTATCTTGGGCCTAGCTAAGTTGTGTTTTTCTTTTTCATTTCACAGGGTCCTTCTGGTCCTGTTGGTCCTGCTGGTGCTGTTGGCCCAAGAGGTCCTAGTGTATGTACATGCTGAAGATTTCTTTGCAACACTAACATTTAGAGAGAATCAGTCCAAAACATCTGTTAAGAAAATAAACAATATATCAGCTAGACTTAATATTTTTTAAAAATTTCAGTCCATGCTGAGAATTGATACAAATAACTTGAGCTATTTTAAATCTCTTATGCTTGTTTGTATTAAACAATTACAAGGATCTAGCCACTTTACAGATAGCACAACTAAAGCAGATTACCAGCAGAGGTGAGAGCCTAGCTAAACCATTACATGTCCTGAGTTACCTTTGTAAACGAATTAAGCAGTATTTGTGGTGAAGT
This sequence comes from Homo sapiens, assembly GCF_000001405.40. Taxonomy (NCBI): domain Eukaryota; kingdom Metazoa; phylum Chordata; class Mammalia; order Primates; family Hominidae; genus Homo; species Homo sapiens. Next base: position 94,426,369 of record NC_000007.14, read on the forward strand.
GAGTGCCATTTTTTTAAAACGGTAAGTCTTATCCATCCTTCTGTTTCTTTATAGGGCCCACAAGGCATTCGTGGCGATAAGGGAGAGCCCGGTGAAAAGGGGCCCAGAGGTCTTCCTGGCTTAAAGGGACACAATGGATTGCAAGGTCTGCCTGGTATCGCTGTAAGTAAACTGTAGCCATCTCGCACATAAACTGATCCTGAAGGCCTTCAGCTCAGAAGGATTTTCATATTTTCACTGCTATTGTTCCAGTATAGCCTATATAATATCCATTTCCCATTCTCTGGCTAACTCCATCTCACTCTTGGAGGTAATGCTATTTCATACCAACATGAAAGGTGAGGATTAAGGGAGATAGAAATAGACATACAATAAAATCTCCTGGTAACAATGTCCTTCAACCCCACTTAAAATAAACATAATTAGAGGAATGACTAATATTGCACTGCTGAAATAGGTTGTGAAAAAAAAATTGAATATAATAGACATAATGGGAGAAAAGAGCCCCACTTTACATTTTCAATTTTCTCAATCCGGAGTCCATTTAACTAAAGTTTCCCATTCAATTTGGAAAAAAAAAAAAAATATGTCTCTTGACATGTGCTCTGAAAGTGTGATTTTCCTCTTCTGTCTTTAAAGGGTCACCATGGTGATCAAGGTGCTCCTGGCTCCGTGGGTCCTGCTGGTCCTAGGGTAGGTGGACTCAAGAGAAGACAGTTCATCTCTGAAATAGAGGCTAAAGCGAGCAGTGAGCCCCAGGCTGCTGCTCCCTTGGTGGGATTCACCAGCTCACATGTACCTGGTGTCTGTCTTCCTTAGGGCCCTGCTGGTCCTTCTGGCCCTGCTGGAAAAGATGGTCGCACTGGACATCCTGGTACAGTTGGACCTGCTGGCATTCGAGGCCCTCAGGGTCACCAAGGCCCTGCTGTAAGTATGATTTGGGGAAATAATAAAGAAGATCACGGACCTAAGGAATGTTTTCTTCAGACTAAACCAAGACAACTTTGACAACCCATTAAAGTTAGCCCCATTTCAATATATCCTCTAAAATATCTGGAAATTGTCTATATGCAATGGGCTTGTTAAGTCCATCCCTGCAAGTGTGCCTGGGGGCTCGTTATTTATTTATGTGAACTTGATTATTTTTTACTGATGAGAACATGCTTCCGTGTGAAGCTCAACTGAAAATCTGCTGCCATGGATGTCTCTCACTGTAACAAAATATAAAGCCTCTCCTATCTCACTTTCACCTTTGCAGGGCCCCCCTGGTCCCCCTGGCCCTCCTGGACCTCCAGGTGTAAGCGGTGGTGGTTATGACTTTGGTTACGATGGAGACTTCTACAGGGCTGACCAGCCTCGCTCAGCACCTTCTCTCAGACCCAAGGACTATGAAGTTGATGCTACTCTGAAGTCTCTCAACAACCAGATTGAGACCCTTCTTACTCCTGAAGGCTCTAGAAAGAACCCAGCTCGCACATGCCGTGACTTGAGACTCAGCCACCCAGAGTGGAGCAGTGGTAGGTCAAGATGTCCAGACCAGACTGACCCTTCTCACAAGTTGAGCTTTTCAAAATTAGTTTCCATTGACATTTAGAGTGAAAATGCATTTGGGTAAAGATTACATTATGTGAAATCACACCCAATTAATGGAGCGTCATCTTCTCCCAACCAGCACCCAACCTCATTTCCCTTAAAATGTATTTTTGCACTTTTCATAGTAATAAGTACCCTGATTTGATTTTTCATGGAGGAGGGGAGGGAAGGAACTGTCTAATCTTAAAAATAGCCACCCTCTTCCTCTTAAATATGGGGTAGACAATCAAAAATGTTACTTATGAGAGTCAGTATCTTTCATTAGTTATTATTAGAATCTGTGTTCTGCTCAATGAGAAGTTTCATGATCTGAATGTTATTTTCTTAAAAGGTTACTACTGGATTGACCCTAACCAAGGATGCACTATGGATGCTATCAAAGTATACTGTGATTTCTCTACTGGCGAAACCTGTATCCGGGCCCAACCTGAAAACATCCCAGCCAAGAACTGGTATAGGAGCTCCAAGGACAAGAAACACGTCTGGCTAGGAGAAACTATCAATGCTGGCAGCCAGGTGAGGAATCCCACAAACACCTCTCCTTCTGCTAAATAATATTTTGGTAGGACTGTTTGTTAATTATCTGCATTTTAATCTCTGACAAAAATGGGCTTATTAAAAAAAGACCTGTTCCTTTCCTGGGTTCCAATTTTGTCCTAAATTGCACATTAGAAGATGGATTGATTGGACACATCCATGTAATTCAAAGTTATTATTCAAATTTGACTTAATTGGTAATCATTGAAAAAACTGACTAATGTCATTTAGTGTGAAGGAGCACTGGCCAGCTATATGCCACACTCATACATATGCATTTTCAGAATGTGAGCAGCTTTTCTGAATTTTTAATCAAACCTTTTCACCAACTTTACTGAATGCCTACTGGAATTCCATAAATTACAAAATGACAGAAAAAGAAAAATGTCAGAATTTCTACCTCCTCATTCTCTTATTCTAAAGAAGAAGCATATGCAAAAAGGATTAATTGAAACAGATAACTTTTTTAGATGACCTTGCCTCAGTCTAGTAGGTCTTATGTTCATCTAGGTAACTGATACTTCAAAGACAAGTGAATTAAGTTTTCTTTAAAAGTACCCTTTTCCTAAGCTTGGATCTGAGTCTACTCTTCCTGAGATCTTTTTTTTTCTTTTTTTTTTTTTTCATGTTTGACTCTTAGTATCTGAGTCCTTCTCCACTTAACTGGAATTTCATCCTATTTTCTGTAGTTTGAATATAATGTAGAAGGAGTGACTTCCAAGGAAATGGCTACCCAACTTGCCTTCATGCGCCTGCTGGCCAACTATGCCTCTCAGAACATCACCTACCACTGCAAGAACAGCATTGCATACATGGATGAGGAGACTGGCAACCTGAAAAAGGCTGTCATTCTACAGGGCTCTAATGATGTTGAACTTGTTGCTGAGGGCAACAGCAGGTTCACTTACACTGTTCTTGTAGATGGCTGCTCTGTAAGTAATAGTGAAATATGGGAATAGCTTTGGGAAGTGGGATGGAGGGGGTTCTAACTTAGACTGCCCCCAAGGGGGGGTCTAAAGGGGGGTTAAAAGAACAGAAGAATGAGAGAACTAACTTATTTCATAAGTAAATTCAGTTTTTGTATGTATTTTATATTTATTTATTTATACGTATTAATTTCGTACTTAAATTCAGATGATAAATTCAGAGTATTCTTATCAGATAGTGCCTTCTGAAATGCTGAAATGTATACTATGTCCATGCATTGTTTTTTCTTTAGCATGTTTTTTAAATGGTAATGTGTGCCCAGAACTTAAAATTTCTTGAGACTTCAGTGGCCTAAACTATAATTTATAGTTATGTGTATTTTATTTTACTTATTAGTATGGCCTACATTTAACTTTTAATGCTTTTTCTACAATATGCTATAAATATAAGAAAAATTAAAATTCACTAACAGCAAGACTACATACCCACCCAGGTCCCGCTCCCAAAGACACACATAGAGGGACATACACACAACAATCCTAAAAATGACTTTGTAGAGATAGGTCACTTGGAATGTGTGTTGAAATGTTGTTGGTTTTTTTGGTTTGTTTGTTTGTTTGTTTTTTGTTAGACTGATAGGGAGCCCCTCCCACTAAAGACACCCTTGATACTGTTATTTCAAGGATGAACTTATTTATCTGGGACAGACATCTTCAGAATGACACATGCCAAACAGTGGTTCTTATTAAATCAAAGGTTCAGATATTATCAGATTCAGAAATAGTGATGCTTTGTGTATCTATTTTCTTCTCTTTAAACAGAAAAAGACAAATGAATGGGGAAAGACAATCATTGAATACAAAACAAATAAGCCATCACGCCTGCCCTTCCTTGATATTGCACCTTTGGACATCGGTGGTGCTGACCAGGAATTCTTTGTGGACATTGGCCCAGTCTGTTTCAAATAAATGAACTCAATCTAAATTAAAAAAGAAAGAAATTTGAAAAAACTTTCTCTTTGCCATTTCTTCTTCTTCTTTTTTAACTGAAAGCTGAATCCTTCCATTTCTTCTGCACATCTACTTGCTTAAATTGTGGGCAAAAGAGAAAAAGAAGGATTGATCAGAGCATTGTGCAATACAGTTTCATTAACTCCTTCCCCCGCTCCCCCAAAAATTTGAATTTTTTTTTCAACACTCTTACACCTGTTATGGAAAATGTCAACCTTTGTAAGAAAACCAAAATAAAAATTGAAAAATAAAAACCATAAACATTTGCACCACTTGTGGCTTTTGAATATCTTCCACAGAGGGAAGTTTAAAACCCAAACTTCCAAAGGTTTAAACTACCTCAAAACACTTTCCCATGAGTGTGATCCACATTGTTAGGTGCTGACCTAGACAGAGATGAACTGAGGTCCTTGTTTTGTTTTGTTCATAATACAAAGGTGCTAATTAATAGTATTTCAGATACTTGAAGAATGTTGATGGTGCTAGAAGAATTTGAGAAGAAATACTCCTGTATTGAGTTGTATCGTGTGGTGTATTTTTTAAAAAATTTGATTTAGCATTCATATTTTCCATCTTATTCCCAATTAAAAGTATGCAGATTATTTGCCCAAATCTTCTTCAGATTCAGCATTTGTTCTTTGCCAGTCTCATTTTCATCTTCTTCCATGGTTCCACAGAAGCTTTGTTTCTTGGGCAAGCAGAAAAATTAAATTGTACCTATTTTGTATATGTGAGATGTTTAAATAAATTGTGAAAAAAATGAAATAAAGCATGTTTGGTTTTCCAAAAGAACATATTGAGTAAAATTCCTTGCTTCAATGCTCTTTGCAATATAAATATGCATCTCTACCAGCCATTAGACCAAGTGCCTCTGATTAGATAGAAATTATGCAAAAAGGGCAGTTTGGTGTGGTAGAAAGAGCAGAGAACGAGGACCCAGGAGAGCTGAACTCCAGTTCTGGCTCTGTTCCTTGTGGCTGAGTGACCTTGAAACTCTGAGCCTCTGCATTTCAGTTTCCATAGCTATAATATGAAAAAATTCCTTTTCAGCACTATTAAGCATTTGCCCTACTCAAAATATGTAATATTTAAGCAACATGGCATTTTTGACCTAATTTTACTATAACCAAAGGTCTATAGAAACTTGGTTTATTATATATTAAGCACTTTATAACAGTGGCTGAAAGTTGGTCTATGAGCAATTAATACTATTAACTAAAACAGTTTCAAATATTCAGTAAAAATGCCATACACTTAAATCTGAGGCAACTGAATACAATGCCTGTTAAGAGGTAATGTGTGTGCTGTCAATCAGGATAGACAGTTGTGGATAATAGTACCACGAACACCTACCTGCCAAATCAAGTTCATTTTCCTCCCCTGCACCTTTCAATAACATCTTTAATACACTTAAACATAGTAATGTGTCAAGTAAAATGTTAAGATTCATTTAGAGCTTATTTCCTGTTGCAGAACATAATTGTGATTGTAATATTTGCCTTGTGTTATAAGTCATCTCAAGATTCAATTAGTTTTAAAGGCAAAAGACTGAACATGGTAAAAATGTAATATTAACCTTAAAAAGTTAGCAAGGTCTCCTAATCAAAATGCAGATTCCTGGTCCTCATCTGCCAAATTCAGATTTAGTAAGAAATTGCTATTCTTACGCATCCTGTGAAATTCAGATGTGCACCAATTGAAGGACCACCTGATGAGGTTACTGCCATAGTCCTTTGTAGCTCTAATATTCTGTGTCTGACAAGAAGGAATATATATATCTGACCAAACCATATATAAAGATAACTCCTGGGATCCGAATGCTGGTACTCTCTATAAATTAGTAATTAAAATGACCATGCAAACTTACATGATAAAACAGAAATCTCTGGATCAAATATGAACTATACCCTCAGACTTATAGCAAAAAAAAATAAAACGCATTTATTGAGTACCTGCTAGAGGCAAAAGCCATGCTAAATAATAATAATGACCTTTGTCAAACTGAATCTGAATTAGCAGATTTCCTAAGCCAATGCTCACTTAATAATCACTTAATCATCATCAGTGTGAGACAACTGAAAATAGTCAAATAAATAATGGTACACCTAATGGATTACAATGAGGAAACAAATTATGGTATATCCAGTAAACAATGAGGAAACAAATTACAGTATATCTAATAGATAACGATAGGATGAATAGTGAAATAAATTTTGGTATCCCAATAACATTTATAAGGATGATTTAACAAAAGAAAAACTTCTTAGAATAGAATTTTCAATCTTGAAAATCTAATATTCAAGAACACTGTCATTATAATTAGATATTTTAAATATACATGTAAAAAAATGCTGAGAGTAGGCACATTTGTATAGAAGTTTAAGGATGATTTTTAGGCCTAAAATTTTCAAATTTGCAACAATGTAGCTATATTACATTATTATTTACAACAAATTTACTCTTAAAATATTATGAAAGAAGCAGTCAAAAGTGAAAAGAATCTGGTTCAGGAGTAGCCATCTCCAGGGAAGGAGTGGTCAACCTCCCACCCACCTGTTTCCTGAAGAGAAGGACAAGCCTGGCCTAAGGGTCATCATCCACCATGGACCAGCCATCCTGAGAGAAGCTTGGGAGGGTGTACAAAGCTCTACCAGGCCACAGCATCTTCAGGGAGCTCAGGGAGCTTATAGTGCGGTTCCAGAGGCAGAATAAAATAATGTGTGAACAGAATTTTAAATTACATATCCTCTGAGGATAACAGAAGACACTATTAATTAATTAGAGGGAGTCTCGGGAAATTAACCTTTGTCTCACACAGTAACTGATATTTGGATTGAACTGGCCTCTCTTGATAGAGATCTCATTTCACCTTCAAGCTCTCTGGCTCAATCCTTCTTCTCTGGAAGTCACATATTAAAACAGCCTGGTACTTACCAAGCCAGGAGGTCCACTGTGAGTGTTCCCAGGGCCTAGACTCAAATGTGGACATAGAGCAATAGACTGAAGACTTGGCCCTTCCATGACGAGCCCACTCTTTAGAGGCTGATCACCAGGCCCAAAGCATACTCCTCACAACATTTCTTGACCCTTGGTGGAGTGAAGGTCAGCCACCTCTAACTTGTAGGAGTGTGAAAGGGAAGAAAATTGCACATGAAAGAGAGAAGAAGCAGGTAGCCAAGATCTAGGGAGGGGACATTAATCAAGTCTAGTAAAAAGGGTCATTTAAAATTCTAAAATCAATACAGCTAATGCATTGGCAAAGAGCAAAGATACCTGAGCAATGCTGAATACATTTATTATCTTTAATGCCAAAAGACTTTTTTATGCTATTCCACTTAATATCACTGTAAAGGAAGTTCAGAAATTGGATTATATATAAGAAAAGTTGGAAATGTCATTCTGGGTCAGAACAAAAATCCATCTAGATGAGTACTTTGCCTTTGACAGTGGCACCAGGGGAAATTTGGGAGAAAGAGCAGTTGGCACTTCTTGTGAAGCCAGCCTCAGAACTCCCATTTAATAACCCATTGTAAATCTTTTTTGTACATAGATGTATCTAAACCCTTCCAGAGTCCTCTATCTATTTTGAAATATGTTGGTATTACAGTACCAACAGGAGAGAGCTAGTGCTGAATTGTTAGCTCAGCTTCCTAACCCTCTGATCAAGTAGCTAAAATATGTTTTCTATCCTTGTGCCTGGATCAGCCAGGGATTCGACAACTCCATATCCTTAGGGAGCACTAGTAAGTCCAACAATGGGGCCATAGACAACCCATAATGAGCGACTTATCCCTGCTCTTCAGTGAAATGAGCACATAATTTGTGGTCAGCAGCCAAGGCTATGAGTATCAGCTCTGCCATTGACTAGCCCAGGGCCCTTGGGAAAGTCTCTTAAGTTTTTTGAGAATTTAGTTAACATGCCTGCTTTAGTTAACATGCCTGCTCTTAGAGATTGCCATTACCACACATATCATCTCACAGAACTGCTGGGGGTACCAAAACAGGCATGTGTGAAAGTGCTGAGTAAAGTATGCACAATAGACTTGTCATCACTAGGTCCAAAATTTCCTGGCCACTGGTGGTAGCCTCTTGATTTATTTTCTGATCACTGGCCCTCTAATTTAGGAAGAAGAGAGTGTAGAATTTACACTTAATTAGCACCACTCTCTAAAGTGGTAGTGTATCAATTTTGAGTTATGCCTCCTTATCAGTAAAAATTTGAGTTCTTACAACAAATTTACTTACTTATATATAAATGTTATGTATATATTATGGTGCTAGTATATGCAATATAAAACCTCTACAGAAAAAAAATCTGTAAAGACAGAAAATAAATACACATAGAAGGGTCCATAGTCCAGTGGATCATTCTGCACGCCCCTGGGATGCATGCACCACCCCCTTCCATTTTAGAGAGTATTGCACTAAACAAGGATGGTCTTCAGGGGAGGAGGAGCATCAATGAACTCCTGAAATCACATGTTAAATACACTTTGTGGGTATGTGCATTTTTCTTGGAAGAAAAGTCCACAAATTTCATCTGATATTCCTAGGGGTCCATGTCCCAATTAGACTTTATAAGCCACTGCACAAAAGAAGTATTATCCACATCGCTAAACCCTGGACTTTTCTGAACTATGACTTTCTCTTTTTTTTTTTTTTTTTTTTTTTTTTTTTGATGAAGTTATACTCTTGTTGCACAGGCTGGAGTGCAGTGGTGCGATCTTGGATCACTACAGCTTGAACTCCCAGGTTCAACCTACTCTACTACCTCATCCTCCCTAGTAGCTGGGATTACAGGCATGCACCACCATGCCCAGCTAATCTGATATTTTTAGTAGAGACAGGTTGTGCCACGTTGGTCAGGCTGGTCTCGAACTCCTGACCTCAGGTAATCCGCCCTTCTCGGCCTCCCAAAGTGCTGGGATTACAGGTGTGAGCCACTGCACCCGGCTTGAACTATGACTTTCATATCTCATCTTAGGTGTCTTACTCAGAACATGCTGCTTCTCCTACCCTAAGACCTGAGAGAACCAACCAGCACCAGTCCAAATGTAAATAATGGTTTGTCTTTTATTCTTCCACTTTTCTGGTATGAGTCCTCTGTCCTACGCTTTAACTAGGCTTGACATATACCTTATGACCTGTACTTTGTAACATAAAAATACACCAATCTTCAGAATCTTTTTAAAGAAGAGCAAACAAACTCAGTAATGGGGGACAATTAATTGAGCTATGCCTTTTAGGTAAAATGTGCTTGTATTAGTTTTTTTAATTTTGAAAAGTGATAGAGTTTAACCTAAAAATTATTGCAATTTCTGGCACTGTAAAATGTCTTGAGGACAATACTGTAATTGTTTTCCAGGGATCCTCAAATCACCTAATAGAACCAAATCTTTTCATCTGATTGCTCCAAAGCAAACCTATTATTCTGAGCTCCAGACATAGGATTAATTCTGGCCAAAATTAACAATCTTACTGGAATCTAGAAAGGTATCCTTAAAATTGAGATTCACCGTAAATTTAAAGACATTTTTAAGCAAAGCACACAATGCATTTTTACTATCAAAGTGAACATATTTTTGTAGTGTAGTATTGCTCTTGGTGTCCAATGGCTTAATTAACAACAATAATGATGAAATAAAACTTAAACAACATCTTTAAAATGGAATCTATTAATGCTAGGCAGAGTAAGAACACCTAGTGCCAAGTGGATGGACCTTTCTATCGCTACAATATGTCAATTCGAGTTCAATGCTCCCCCTGCTGGCTGGATAACAGAACACCTCAGTCCTTTAACAGTGCCGCGGGCATACCATTGGAGAATGAAAATTCCAATTTAAGGGGAGAAAATAGAACAGCTTCCTGTGCTTATATCCTGTTAACTCCAGACACACAGCCTTCTCCTCAACTTCCACAGGGGTCTACCTTCATGTTCTCAGTACTCCCTATTTTACTTTCCCTCTCTGATCTATCTTTAATATTTCTCCCATGGAGCCAATAAGTGGAAGCCACAAAGAAACAAACATAATCTCAAAGAATGAACTTTTGGATGAGTAGAGCTGTCCGATGCTACAAATATTGCCCCGAGATAAAGTGAGCACCTTTGAGGATTTAAGTAAAGGGTGAGTGGATTATATGGAACAGAGACAAGAGGGTGTGATAGAAAAGAACCAGTGTTTAGGAATCCAGAGCTATTTGGATTTGTATGCTGTCCACCATTTCCTAATCTATTAAATGGGGATGATAATAACACTATGCACGGGACTGTAAGGTTCAGAGATATGAATGCATAGCAGCTTGCAAGGTTGGCAGGACGTAAGCACTCGGGAGCATTAGAACCATCACTATCATTATCCCCTCGAGCCTGAATCCTCCCTAAAAGCCTTTAATTCCATCACCAAGAAAAGTAACCACCTTTTCACAAGTACTATCTTCTCTAACAACAGTGGCCTAAAATGATAGCGCATCTACAATTCAATTATACTGCAATTTCCCTTACCACAGATAGCTTCCAGCAAAGTCTCAAATACTCATAATTTGGTGAGTCCTTCTCCACAACCCAATAGAAAATCATCCAGTTTTTATTAAAAGCATAAAAATCTCTCCAATTTTTTGCAAAAGTAAACCCACAATTCCACCTTCACAGTCATAAAATAAAATTGCTGACAAAAGGAACAAATTTGCATTTAATATTTAGCTGGTCTCTGCCTTATGCCTTTAGAAGTGTGTCCAATTTTGAAAAAAAAAAAAAAAAAGAAGGTTTCTAAGCTTAAAAATGGCTACTTTGCTTACTTGGAAGCCAGTTCTTCAACACAAATGGACTATAACTCATACATGTTAAATTTGCCAAACCTCTGACACTTAATTTTTACTTGATTTTCTAAAACCGTGTGGCCGGCTGTAAAAATTCTAACTCAAGAGTTTATCAGCATAAGAAATAATCACAATTATTAATGTCCTCAGAGAAATTTCTTGCCCTACATGAATTTACTAAAGGGCTTTAAACATATTAAATCACCTATTACTGCCAGTGCTTTGAGTGTTTATGAGTCATATTATAAGTGGATCCACTTCAAAGAAACATAGAAGCAGCTTTGATTATAGATATTTTCAAAATGGTTTTTTTAACACTGATTATAGATCTACTTTCCCTTATAATACAGAAGTTTGAAATCATTTCTAAAAGTTTATCAATATAACTAGAGTTTCCAACTGCTACTTTGTTCATCATGATAAGGTTTGTTCCTAATGAAAATAATTTTAAAAAAAAACCGTTCTCAGATAGCATCTAGAAAATTGCCCATTTAACAATTTCTCTGAGTTATTCACAACAAATACATACTTTTATTTACAACTGGGAATGCTTTTAAAAATATAGTGAATTTATGGTCAGTTTTAACCTCCACATGTTTTCTTAGACTTTCTTCCACTAAAATATCACAATAAATGGTCACCTTGACACCATAAATTATAAAAAGAGCTTTGCTTTCCTTCTCTCAAACTTGGGAGGGCTATGTATCAAAAACAGAACAAAGTCCACTAAATCTTTTGAACCATTGAAAAGAGAAAGACAAATCAATGACAAAAATGATGTGCCTTCTCACCAATACACAAATTAAACTGCGTATTTTGTAGGATGTATAGGGTTATTGGTCTTTTTATTATCACTTTTGTGAGGTATCTGCCAAGTAAGTCTAATTCAGTAAAATAGATTGATACATTGGGAAAAAATCTCTAGTCTGCATTCTGGGTTGGGAAGAAAATCATGCAGACTGTTTAGTCAACCTTTACCACTCGTTATTTTTATCTAATTGGTCTGAAATATTATTTAAAACTCCCTCGGTGATTGCAATTTGCAGGAAGTCTTGAGGAAAACTGTATGAGACTAAAGCCACAAGGTTCTGAAACCCTCCCTTAAAGTCAATGGCAAAGTTGGAAGTCTGTGCCTATGTGCCTTTTTCTAGGAAGACAAAGTATATTGTACTTCTCTAAGTTTTTCCAGATCCCACACAATATTTACCAAACCAGAATTGCTAGGGGTGGACCCAAGATATTTCTATATTTAATTAGTACACCAAGGTGGTTCCCATGTACTCTCAGAGTTTGAGAACCACTGGTTTATTAACATCATCATATTTTTAGGTGATTCTGTATCCCTCTCCCCAAAATGTTTAGGACTACAGCTTTCAAATAGTGGGCTCTTTAAGCTGTTTTAAAAAGAACATGTAATGGCTCATTGAACATGTGAGCAATTAATTTGGGAACAGTTACAATATTACAAATGTGATTACTTATTGCAAACCCAATTAATCCAGTCAGGAAGAATGTTAATTACAAAGGAGTGTGGAAATTAGCATGAGTACATGACTAAATGCCTAAAATCTGACCTATTATATTGTCTGTCAGGTAATTTATTTCAAAAATACTTCCACAGGAGGTTTTATGTATATATGTGCATGAGGGCTATAAAGTAACATTAATCCACACTCCAGGGCTGATTGAGTAATCTTGGACATATCCTAATTAGGAAAATCCATAGCTTTAGAATTGGCTATTCTGGCATTTCAAATATCATTATTAAAATCTACACCAGAAGGTGTGTTAATTAGCATAAAAGATGTCAATAATAATTTTTCATAGTTGAAATATGGTCTTGAAGATATATGGAGAACTAATAAATATTTAACATAATGAAACTTAGGCTAAATCTTGTTCTACTTGTGACATACTACTTGGTAGCAAGATTGACAAGGAAAGACATATAGTCCTATCTATCTTCAATCACCAGAGATGACTTATATTTACCAAAAACTCTTGAATTACTCAATTAGCTCAGATCACTTCAAAAGATGACTCTAAAAAATGGAAAAATGGTAAAAGATGGCTAAGAAAATGACACACAAAGCAAAACTGTACTGAATTAATTTAAAAAGCGAAATGAAATAATGCTGAAAACAATAACTGCATTTCTCTAATGAGCAATGGAATATCAATAAAAATGAATCCAGATATAATAGAAAGCAATCGGGAAGGATGCCAAAGTTCCAAAGAAATCATCTCTCTTTCTATGGGAGCAGCCAAGATTTACTAGGTGCTTTTATGGCCCTTCCCCTCTGGGCATAACTGAAAAGCTAGAGGAAGAGCCTTAGCCAAGCTGAGCCACTCAACTCCTCTCTTTTGAAAATTTAAAAGTTGTAGTGGAGAATGGCAAGGAATAATGGAGGCATGACAATGACAGCACTCTACAGACGACTGTGAACTTTTGCAGATGAGGTCACAAAACAGTACTAGATTTTTGGTTGTTCTTTCAATTATGAAATAATCCAGTATCCTTCTACTAACTTTCCTTTTTGCTTAAGTTAGAGAAAGTTAATTTCTGTTATATAAAACAAAAACAGTTTCAACTAATATACCTAGTAAACAGGACATGGCAAAAATGGAGGAATACAGGACCATCTTAAAGTAGAAATAAGAGTCACAATTTTGAATAGTCTTAAAAAGTACCCAGATAAAGAACATTGTTGGAACACAATTCATGGATGTTTGGCATTTCTGCATGTTTTGCAAGCAGAGACACTGATGACCTTCGTTCTGAAATATCTGTTCAAGGATGTTTGTATAATGATAGTGTGCAACCTTGGAAGAGAGAGTTAATGTCTCCCTTCAGAGGAGAGGTTACTGTCCACTATAATCAAGATAATAGCTCCCTGCAGGGCAAATGTCAAGCAGGTTTGCTCCCAGCCCATTGTAGTTTTGGGTTCCATTTGTTGGTGTTTCTCAATTGCAACACATCCATTTGGATTGCTCTGCATTTTCCCCAAGGGACTTGGGGAAAGGGGGCCTGAAGCAAATATAAAGCTTTTAGTTCCTTGCCTTGCTGGAACAAAGTCTTTCGTCTCTGACCCAGAAGCTGCATGCCTTCCGCCAGCATCTATTAAACTGTGGCCGGCTAACATCTTAGCTTTAAAGTAGAGAAAATTCCAGATCCTTCAGAGTTCTTGACAAACATTTCAAAGAAGAATTTATAACAGAATGAAGCTGCATCCGTTCTGTATTCTTGTCTTTCAAGTTGCCTAGCAACTAGTTGGTCACCACTGATCTGACAATCTGCAGTAATGAACAACCACGCTATATAGAAAAGTGTAATTGAACTACATGCTTCTAGATGGCAGATTGTCTGATTCATCTCTGTATCTCTATCACCTAGCCCAGTAATACAGACTCCAGACTTCGTGATTTTATTGTTGCAGGACTTTTCCTTAGTTTAGCTAATGACAGGGTTCTTTGTTCCATGGCCACAAAAATTCAGGCTTGCAGATAGTTTGAATGGTGAGTAAGACAGGGTTTTACTGGGTGAAAAAAGAAGAAAAGGGGAAACGGGGACTCTCCCTAGGCCAGAGTCCCTGCTAGAGTACTTCTCGCCTGGTCATTTGAATTCCAGGTTCCAGATAGGAAGAGGAGGGGCCAGACTACTCCCCTCTGCAAACAGCGTGAACTTCCGTGTCTCCACCCAATGCACATTCCTCCTGGTGTGCAGGCTGGTTGGAGTTTTTCCAGGGACCCTCTCCCACCTGGCTATCTCATTATGTTGAACAATTATTAAACAAAAGAGGAAACTATAAAAATGACTGCTGGAATATGTATAGAGTTGTAGTAACTAAGATAGTCCAAAATCTGTATCATAGGTACTTTACCTTATAATCATCTTGTATCTTCAGGTTTATTTAAGCAAAACGAACAGAGATCCAGTCAAGGAAGCTCAGGTGACAGGGACATACATAGAGAAATAAGAGCAAGAAAGGTAACAGACTACTGAAATTGGAGCTGCAACGTGGCTGCTCCTTTATTTATTTATTTTTTTAGAGGCAGGGTCTTGCTATGTTGCCCAGGCTGAAATACAGTGGCTATTCATGGTGCCATCATAGCACACTGTGGCCTCGAATTCCTGGGCTCAAACAATCCTCCTGCCTCAGCCTCCCAAGTGGCTGGGACTACAGGCTCACACCACCATGACAGGCTTGGCTCTCTATTTAAGATGGCTTCAGAGATCTCAGGAGCAGGAGTTTGTGACTTTTTCAACTCTTTCCTCTACAGCTTCACCACTAATCTGGTTCATTCACATTCTGCATGTTTTTTTCATATCTGCTATTAATTGGCTTTCATCATTATTATTATTTGATTTCTAAGAGAGAGATTCTGATATAGTTCATAAATCTCTAGACAGCCTAGTAAGTGCTGACATTTGGGTAGGTATCCCATCATGAGAGTCGTGTGATATAAAACATAGCCACCTAGACATCAGAAGCTCTGCGTGGGCAATTTTTAAAGGGGGCAAGGGTATGAAAGACCATAAATAACATCTCTATTACAAACTGCATCACAAAAGTTGTAATGTTTTATAACTTTTCTCAATAAAACAGAAACTTAATTTAATTCAAATACTTTGTATTTGAATGCCTGCTTTGTATCTACCCATCTCACACTCTTCCTAGCACTCCTTTCTCCTTGAAAATATATATGTTGGTCAGGCCTGGTGGCTCACACCTATAATCCCAGCACTTTGGGAGGCCGAAGCAAAAGGATCACTTAAGCCCAGGAGCTTGAGACCAGCCTAGGCAACATAGTGAGACCCTGTCTCTACACAAATTTAAAAATTAGCCAGGTATGATGGTGTGCACCTGTACTCACAGCTACTACAGAGGATAAGGCAGGAGGATTGCTTGAGCCCAGGAGGTAGAGGCTGCAGTGATCATACCACTGCATCTCAGCCAGGGTGACAGAGTGAGACTCTATCTCAAAAAAAGAAAAGAAAAAAAAAAAAATATATATATATATATGCTTCTTCATGCAATTTGAGCATTTTGTTTTTAGATAAAGACTTAGAAAGAGTTCTTAGACATCATTTTTTAATGCTTGTACAGAAAAAAAGAGGGGTTGGGGGAGACAAAGAACATCAATAACAAAAAACAAAAGTTCATTAAAATGCACAAAAAATGTCCAGTTACTTTAGAAATTAAAGAAACACGAAGTTAAAAAGCTCACTTCATCTCTGGCTGTTTCTTTTCAAAATAATAGGTTGATAAGAGTTTAGACAAAAGATCACTCTCATCTACAGTTGATGTGGTATAAATTGGTACAAAATTTCTAGAGAGAAATTTATCGGTATGTATCAAAAGCCTTAAAAATGTTTATATCTTGGACAAGGAATGAATGCTAATAAATTAATATTTGATTTTTCTAAAGACTTTGACCCAGTAGAGTCCATATGAAGGCTTCTCATAAAGCTGTGAGACTCAAGTTTTCTCTCCACTGCACAAATCAGAACAGCACGTAGCTGTCCCCCAATGCAGCTGTCTGGGGCAACCTAAACTTGGAGGGAGAGCTGTGTGGGTCTGAGGAACAAGCACGTGAATCACAGAAGTCTTCTAACTTTGGGAAATGCCATGGCTATTTGCAGCGCAAAGCTGACAGAAGGAACTAGAGCACTGCAGCTCTCAAAAAGCCACACAAATACACTCTTTGAACTGGTTCACATGACTATGTGCAAATCCAACCCTCTGAACAGGTGTCATGGAAAGGTGTCTGCAAAAAACACCAAAAGGTTATTTTTCTAAAATCCCGTTTTATTGCCTTCTCTTCCAGTGAAGGCAACCCCCAGCTGGTTATTGGGAAGTCACATCCCCCTTCTTCCTATATCTTAGCATGGGAGTGATAAAATTGCCTGAAAGAAAGACACTACAATAGCATTAAGTCCATGTGCAAATATAATGACTGACCCTCATATCATATCTCAAGCGCAACAGTTGTCATAGCTTTATTTATAACAAAACATTGGAAATTAACCAAATGTCTAATAATAGTGGATTGGTTTAAGTAGATATGGTGCATCCATTTGATGGATTGCAATCCAGTATTTTAAATGTTCTCAAAATATACTTATAGAAGAAAATTAATAGCTATTTGCTAAAATAAACAAGTATAGATTACAGGGGAGTTGCATCCCATGCAGGAAGTTAGGTTTTAAAACCAGCACATAATGGAGAAAAAGTTTTGCATAATCAACATTACCCTTGAAAATCTCTAGGTTGAAGACCAAATACCATAACTTCCACACAGTTTTTCTTTTAGTATTAGAATACATGGCTGTTTCTGTGATTGTGCATGAAAGTTGTTGGCCTGAGTATAGACCATGTTATAAGAAAAATATGTATTTTTGCCATCAGAATCATAGTCACTGTAGCAAGTTGCACACACCATGTGAGACACACAGAAACTGGAATTGACTAAGAAAAAAGAAATTCCTATCCCCCATCTCATGCTTATTCCAAAGCATATATTCATGAGCTAAATGAAGAGAAATTTTAAAAATTTAATTAAATTATTGTCTGTCTCACACACAGAGAGAGTAAAATTCATCTAAGTTAATGTGTGCAGTGATTATCCATGTAAATCATTACATACAAGTTCAAGTTTGCTTAAAAATTTTTATTTTTTACAGATATGCATAAAAATTCAGAAAGGATGTATGTAAAAATATTAATAACCATTATCTCTAGTGAGGTGATGCATATTGCCAGGGTTTTTTCTTTAATCTGTCTGCATTTTTCAAAAAAACATAAACATATATTACTTTCATTATCAGAAGAAACTAGGATTATTTTTAACTAGCATTCACAAAACATAGATGGTATATTTAAAACTAAGCTTTATTGTATTATGAATGCAGGCTACATGTAGAACAATATATAGTTTTGATGTACAATTTCTGATTCAAATGAACAAGCACTTTGTTAAATTACTGCTAAACATTACGGAAACATGAGAACACATTATGACGCAGTATGTTTCAATCAACAAAATTTTATTCGTCTCCCTTGGTAAAGCAGTGTTATTAGGGACTATTGAACAGAACACGGAGACAGCCTCCTTATATTGAACTGGTTGTTAAAATACACCTGTCAAGGAAAAAAAGGTTCTGTCTAGATATGGATTATATAAATATACATAAAAAAATCTTTAGAAAATTGCCCTAGGAGGTCCTTTCTGAGTGTTTAGACATTCCTAATCTTTCGTGCTTCCGTGATATATTGTTAAAATATCTATTACAGCAATATTTTCTCTGCTTCATTCTCAAAAGATGCAGAGATGCATTCAGGTAATGAGGGAAATTTGTTACTGAAACACATATATCACTCTAGTAAGCCTGTTTTAATGATTGAAAAAAATATATGTCTCACATAGAAGGATTTTAAAGACAGGTTAGTTGAAATGGTTCTTTGATTATGTAAAATCACTGGTGGTTGATTCATTGTGTCAGATTTGAAATGAGATTAAATTGTAAGAGTAAGTTTTAAATTCTCTGCATTAAACTGAATTAATAAATTGAGCAAAGACATGATTCAAATAGGATTGAAAGGTTCTGCTAAAACCAGACTGTTTAGGTCCATTAGCAACCAGCTAAGAAAGAATATCTTATCAGAAAACAGCGTAGGCTGTGGAAAATTAATAGTGCTAGACCCAGTCTTGGTGTAGAATTACATGGAAGGGATTAGGAAGTGAGGGGAAGGTAATTAAGTAGAAAGAACAGCCGGAAAGAACTGAAAAGCCAAAGATCAGATGGTCCTCAAGTTGAGCCCCTCACCATCTGTTGGCAATCATCAAAATTTATTTGATCTTATTGTATATTTACTCTGTGAAAGGAAAAGAATAAAACCTCATTCTAATGAATGAATAGGTGAGATCAAGGAGAATACCCATTATAACAGAGCTCATTATTATAGCAAGTAAAATCATTCCCATTGCAACATAACAAATACAATTAATATAATCTAATTGTTACATCTTTGTCCATGTCCCTAATATGAGCTTCATAAAAAGATTCTCATGTTTTCCTGGCCCTTTGTGATTTAGTTGGAGCACTTTGTTTATAATTTTGCTGTCATTGTTTATTGTATGTTTGTCTATACAATTGCTCTTATAAAATTGCTGAGTGACTGCATGCATGCATCAGGAAAAGTAGGTCAATCAGCCACTTAATGTTTCCTCTTCTAATCTGCATTAGCACCTGTGATTTCAGTATCAGCTAAAGGGGTTACTACTATTTACCCAGTTATACAAAACAGAAAATACAATTCTTTCCTCTCCTTTACCTCTGGTTCTCACATCCAATCAACTACCATATCCTCCTAAATGTTTTTCTATAGCTTTACTTCTTTAGCCTTTGTTTTTGGGGCTTCCTCCCTTCTTTTTCGGCAGTACTGCAACTTTTCACTTCAGCCTTTCACCTTAACTAGTTACTACCTGCCTCTTTTCTCGTTCCCCTCAAATCCATCTTCCATTACACAGAGAAAACACAACTCTGACCTTTCAACTCCCTGTTAAAAGATTCCTGTTTCCACAGCACTTGCAGGATAAAGTCCAAAGGCATTTGTGTAGTATGGGAAACCCTTAACCACAGTGTCCCCTGACTATTTCAGCTCTCTAACTCTTTTCTCCCATCTCACAGTTTATGCCCTCCAGCAAAACCAGAGAGTAATTTATAAAGCAACTACCAATAAATAATTAAGCAATTTTTATTATAATCAACTCATGACATGCCTCAGGGATGAGTATTTCTATTCATTCTTAGGTCTGTGCTATGCATTAGTATTTAAAAATTAGCTGCTGGGGTTTTAGACTGTGAGCCTTGCAAGGAAGGCAGACCAAACTATACAGCCAGCTATCACATGGGAGCATCTGTGCAAGACGTCTCTGCACAGCTCAGCAAGACAAGCAGATACATCATCATATCTCTGAATACATATTAGTATTGCCCACCAGTCAAGCAGTATGCAGCTTCACAGGAGAGCTGTGTATTTTCCTTTATTAAAAAATGATTGAGACTGTCATTCTTTGCCTAGTGCCATCTTTCACATACCTAGCAGCACACTTTTAACATGCCGGATATTTGAAAGCTTTATCAGAAAAGGCTGGCTGCCTCATATCAAGTGTTTAATTTAGTTCTGAAGTCTCTTGAGAAAAATGAATTGATGTCAGATTTTTAATTTTAAAGTTACATTTGCATTGCAGATGGACTATTTAACAGTTCACGTAATCAATAAATTTAATACTTCAGCACAGGACATGTTAACGAGAGACGGTAGGATCTAAATTAGTGGTTTCTTTTGAAAATTCACATCATGCTTGCTTGCTTGCTTACTTAAATCTGTTAATCATAAGAAATCACCGTCTTGTAATGAAAAAATAAATAGCTGAATGTTTCCACAAAGTAGTCAGCTTCTTGGACATGATATTCATTTCTTTTTAGGGACTAACATATCTTGATAAGTAGTAATATTCTACCCCACTCACCCCTCCCTACCAACCTTGCAAAGAATGTGCAGATCCAAACTTTTAAAACCTGTTTAAAATGCTATTTCATAACTGTGCCAAATGCTAGCGAACAAATATTTTTAAATGTATTGGGTATTGTATTAAAAGTAATTAATGGCAAAAACCGCAATTACTTTTGAACCAACCGTACAAATGGGCACTGAGCTAGTAAAAAGTGAATATTTTGTGTTTTAAAATTATTCATGTTTCTTTTTATAAACAATAAACTTGTTTTATTGAACAGCATTATACATTTTTATCAGCTTTATTGAGATATAATTGGCATAAACTGCACATATTTAATGTATACAATTTGATGTGTATGATATATATGTGTAGGCTTTATGATTTCTAGTTAAAAAGTTAGAAATGAATGAAGAAGAAAACTATCCACTATATTCACAGTACTATAATCACAATTAAAACTTTAGAACATGCCCTTCCAAGTTTTTAAAATCTATTCATATACACATACGAATAAAATAGACATGTGCTTCCATTTCTACCAAATTGTGAACAAGCTGCATATATTAGGTTGTGTTTTTTTGTGTTTTTAACTAAAGTTTTCATAAATGTTTTTTCGTATTACTAAGTATCTTTCTAAAGATAATTTTTAATGTATACATATATCACATACATTTTTATCTGTAGTGAAATAATCACAAAATGAATGATGAAGAAAATAATCACCTATAGCCACCTATAACCACTACTTAAACCATAAAAACATAACCATATAAGTAACCATGCATATAATCACTATTAAAATTCTAAAATATGTTTTAATACACATATGAATTTTAAATATATGTAATTATATATACACACACTTTCATTTTTACTAAAATATTAATCAAACTATATGTATTATTTTATACCCCGATTTTAAAGAAAATTTAATAAGCAGTTTGTATACTTGCAATTTTTTTTACAAAAAGTTTAAAAAATACAGAAATGAATGAAGCCAATTATCACCAATAACTCAAGTAATACAGATAATCACTATTTAAACTTTGGAATATATACTTCTGGACAGATATAGAAAAAACCATTTTATTATTAAATTCTATTTTTAATTTAAATTTTATATGAGCATTTTTCCATGTTATTATATATCTTCTTAAGAAATAATTTTAAGCAGCAGAATAGTTTTATAACATGAAGTACTTTTGATAACATTGGATATAATAAAATCTTTTAAATCTTGGCCAATTTTATAGCAAAACTTTTCATTTTTAAAAAACATACAATCTTTTGATTAGTATTGAAGTTAAATGTGTTTTTCAAATGCTCATAGACCATTTTAAATGATGTCTTATTTATTTTGTCCATTCTGTATGCTATAAATAATTTTTCCATTTTATCATTTCCTTTTATGGCAATTTTCATGCACATATGTTTTCCTTTATATTTTTTCTTCATAATTTTTTTCTTTGCCTTTTTGCTTAAGCTAAATATTCACTTATATGATTTTTTTTTTTTTTGTAGAGATGGAGTCTTGCTCTGTCACCCAGACTGGAGTTCAGTGGTGCGATCTCTGCTCACTGCAACCTCCACCTCTCCTGTTCAAGCAATTCTCCTGCCTCAGCCTCCTGAGTAGCTGGGACTACAAGCGCACACTGCCATGCCTGGCTAATTTCTTTTGTATTTTAGTAGAGACAGGGCTTCACCATGTTGCCCAGGCTGGTCTCAAACTCCTGAACTCAGGCAATCTGCCCGCCTCAGCCTCCCAAAGTGCTAGGATTACAGGTGTGAGCCACCATGCCCAGCCTCACTTATATGTTTTAAAGTTTATTTAATTTTGAATTTGAATTTTTAACATCTGGGATTTATTTGTTATATAATGTAAGGTGACCAAGCATCCTTGTACACGGATTTGAAATTACATCTTTATCACATAATAAATTCTTATGTATGCATTTGAATTTAAAATTTGTGCTAGTGAAGTGATGAAAGCTGCAGTTCAATCTCTAAGCTTTTGTTCCTTTTGTATCTGTTTAGTTAAATGTGGCATTGATTTAGGGTGATACTTTTTCTTTTTTAACACTCCATAAAGCACCAAAGATACATTTAAATTTATATACATACATGTAACTATTTTTCTTCTTTAGGTTTATATTTTCTTTTAAAGCAATACAAGCTTTTTGTAGGAAAAATGTAAGTAAAATTGTAAGGAAGCAGAAAAATTATTTTGATCTCTTTTAATCAACAATAACCACTGATAACACTTTGGCATATTTAGTTTTACAACTTTTTTCACTTTTTCTTCTTTGTGGAGGATACAAGAGATGTAAATAAAGGTCTTTAAATGTTTTCATAATGATGATTGTTTTATGCTTCCAGTAGAACATTAACTTGATTTGTAATAATGAAATTTTTAATCCTCCTAATGGGATTTGAAACATATTTCTTAAAGAACCTAAATGTACAAACTCATATTCTGAAAACAAAAAAACAAATGTTTTTTAAAATTACTCATTAAAATGGAAATTCTCTATTTTCACCAGTGGGTGGCAATCTCAACATATACACTGTTTGGTATTTTCGACAGAACTGTTTATTGCAAAGGGGAAAGCTACCTAAAATGTCTGACAACTGTAACTCCAGCAGCTGTTGTTGCCCTTTAGTTGTTGCCCTTAAAAAAAGAAAAAGAGAAACCTGCAGGAATAATCACAAGTAAGAACATTACACAACATGGAATAAAATTACCCTGGTTTAACGTGGGCTTGGTGAAAATAAAAGCTATGTGTTAAAATACTATTCTTCATACGCTTCTAAAAAATCCAGTGTTTTAAATATTTCTAGAGAGGACTGAAATTTACATCAAATTTCCTACAATTACGTGAGTTTTAACTATTGCAAAAAAAAAAAAAAAGGTTATGGAGGATATAACTGTGATGTGTAAACAGCAAACTTTAATGGTTAGCAAAGCATCCAAAACACATAGCTAAACCAACATTATAGTTAGGGGCATTCAGGTAGTAGAAAGCTTTAAAGAGTGGGTGCATCCACATGGGAAAGACCTGCAAATAGCTGTCTGAAGTTGCGTTATCTCCTATTTGGAAACAAAAACAAACATAAAGCTAAAGTAATTGGTTTTTTAAAGTGCAAAATCCAATAATCTCAAATTTCAGATCATGAAAGAAAGCAGTTTGGGGCATTTCACTGATGTTTTGATCTACATATTTATATACTCAGTCCCCTATTTCAAATATAATATAAACATGGTGATTTTTTTTTATTTTGCAGATAAACCATATACTTTCTTACAGTGGTAATTAAAACCAAATGGCACAAATCACTTGAGAGTGAGAATCCCCAGAGTGCAGGGCAATCTAAAAAAGAGGGTACAGTTGGCAGTAAAGTTACAGAGTTTATCTTCAAACCAAGAGCATGCTCTCAGACAGCTCAAAGCGTTGAATCCACTCTGTCCAACCCAGTTATCTCCTGGTGATTATGACACCCGGCCTCTTGACTCTCTGCAGTATGTCAGTTCACTTGTTTCTATTCCATTGCTCTAGAGCCTACTGAGTCTGGGGGACAGGGCATAAAGTGAGTTTGATTCAGGATTCAGCAATGCTTATGCCCCCCTGGCAAACTGGTAGGCACTCCCTCAAGAAGCTCAGTTGAGTAAAAACTAAGGAGACTTTAGGGAGAACTATTTATGCAAAGAAAATTGCAAGGATGACAAAATTGACTTAGAAAAAAAGCCATAGTAGCTGTAAGAGTAAAGATACTAAAGTGTGGTGACTTTTGTTGGTAATGACCCCTAAACCAGCCTCGGGAATACGTATTAAAGCCTGACTGTAAATAGAAATCTAAAAACTGCAAACCTCTCCAACAACACCTACATCAAAGAAAGAGAAATTCTCATCTGCTGCATCATCCAGTTCTTTCAACTATTTCTCATATAATGCAAGTTTCTAGACCCTCCCATCATAATTACCCTCCTATGATATCCTCTTGTTATTAGTGCAATTCTTAGAGTGTAGATTCCCATAATTAAACCCAATATGCTAGCAATGAGGAACAAAGTAAGGCTTCTATAAGCTGTACACTTATCCGCCATTAACAGAACACAATATTCCTTGAGCTTTTTTAGTATTGACCTAGAGCTTTCAGTAAGTATTTATCAGAGGTCAGTTTAATTGTGAACAGCACTAAAATAGGCAGTCTACTTGCTTACACACTGTTTAAACCATATTCAGCAATCTGCAGGGTATTAAAATCACCTCAATAAATGGAGATGAAGGAATTAATGCACGATCAAGTACCAAAATGAGCATTTCAGATTCCAAGAGCTTTCATAGTTCAGAGTCAAGGAGTAGTTACAAGGCAGACAGGACTTAGCAGCTAACATTCACTGAGTGTTTATTTAGTGCCAGACCTTGTTCCATGTACTCCAGTAGCATGAGCTCATTTAATCCTCACATCGACCCTGTGAGTTAGATACTATTATTATCTCCATTTTACAACGAGGAAACTGAGGCTTAGAGATGTTAAATAACTTGTCCAAAAGTACACAGCAAGTAATTGGGAATATCTGGGTCCTGAACCTAGACAGCCTGACTCCAGAGACACACACAACTGCTCTGCTATGTGTTCTCCCTACACAGCTGTGGCACCATCAGTCTCAGTCATGCCTGAAAAATCAGAGGTGTCTCATTTAGCCTGTTTCATGGTCGCTGCTTTGTGATCTTCAGGGACTGCCACTTCCCAGCTCCTTCTTTAATGTGAAACCAGGCAAACTGGCCGTAATGAAACAGTCTGAAGCTTCATCACATCTGTGTCCACTGCATTCATGAGGATCCAGCCCATGGTGGCAGGTGAGGGCCCCATGAAAATGAGCAGCATAAACATCAAAATAATCCATAATAGAAGATTTATGAAAAGAGTTGATATTCCTTCCGATTTTTGATTTGGGGATAGTAACAGATAATTCATAACTATTTACATCTTTTTCACTTAAGTAACAAGCAAAACGATGCAGATTGTCTGCTGGACATTGCAATAGATACCATAACTATTCACTGCAGGGCTTTAGGAGATATTTATGGCTCTTTAGAAGCAGATGCACTTTTTAAGATTTTTCGCTGTGACTTAAATTTTGAATTCTAACCACTCAAGGCTATACTGAGAGAGGTGAGTATGAAAAGTACTACACAGAAGCAAAAGGAAATACACAAAAAGCCAAAAGGAAGAAAGACTTCCCCCCAAATTAGTTGAAAATATGTATACTAATTGAAAGCCAATAACTCCAGACCTAATGGGATAATATTCATAACCCCAAGGGAGGATGCTTTGAATAATGATAAATTAGAAGGAATTCATTCTACAGATTTAAAATATTTCTGTACTGTTCTTAGGGGGAAAATCAAAACAAAAAATTTGTCAGCAAGCATATGAATAACCCTTATTAGACTAATGAAAAGTGAAAAAACTACTAAGAAAAGGTGATCTTATGTCCTTTGTGAAACAACTTAAACATTTATCTAGACAAGTACCGTATTTAAGGAGCCAAATTCTGCCTCAAAGGGAACCAGCTGGCCATGAAATATAATCTCTTTAGCTGGATGGAGGATAAACAAAGTTTAGTCCTTCGTGCAGAACATGCAATGAAGATAGAAAGCACATTGCCCTGGGATTTGTCCTGAGCAGGTGTCAGCAGCCTCTGTGAGATGGCTGCCAGGTCTTTATTTATTCACTCTCTCAGGAACTGGAAGAGGGAGGGCTTCTAGTATCCTTAGGTCACACACATGCCCAGAAGTGGATGTACTTTGAGGCAGCGAGGTTACATCTATAAGCCAAAACACTTGAAAAATACCTGGATCGTGTTTGCTGCTCCACGGAAAATGTGGGGCTCAGGCGTCCCCCCTCCCCCAGGAACTTCTCTTCCCACAATCCCAGTTACTGTTCCTGGGGTTTATTTAGAGTCCTCAAGAATTTCCTTTTATAATGCAAGTACCCTTAAGATAGATGGCACCTATATTCATTTTTGCAAAAGATGTAGAGAAGCTGTGAGCCAGGTAACACGCTAGACTAATTATGACCTTAAGTGAAGAACAACTCAGTTCTGTGTGTTTATCCAGTCCTAAGAGTCTGCGTGTTGGGGGCACAGTGACAGGGAAAGGTTGAGAGTATTGTTGGTTAAGAAAGCTAGTGGAGGCTGGGTGTGGTGGCTAATGCCTGTAGTCCCAGCACTTTGGGGGGCCGAGGTGGGAGGATCGCTTAAGCTCAGGAGTTTGAGACCAGCCTGGACAAGATGCAAAACCATGTCTTTACCAAAAATACAAAAATTAGCAAGGTGTGTAGGCCAGTGCTTGTAGTCCCAGTTCTTGGGAGACAGGAGAATTGCTTGAGCTCAGGAGGTTTAGGCTGCTGTGAACTATGTTCTCACCACTGTACTCCAACCTGGATGACAAAGTGAGACAAAAAAAAACAGAAAGCAAGCAAGAAAGAAAGGAAAGCCAGTGGCCGCTTTTATTGTTGTTTTAGTTTTCTATTTTCATCTGTTAAGACCTCAAAGGAAACGTGTTATACATCAATTCTGAGGCCAGAATACTATATTACAATAATATTTTGCATATATTTATGCTATTGGGTAGGTCTGTAAACAAGAATGATTGAGATCTGACCAGAAGCAGAAGCAGTGCACTGTATCTGGGATTTATGGAATAATAAACAGTATGTTAGGTTTACCTCTAGTTTGTGAGCAAACAGAATTTTTTACAATTATTTACCTATTCACTAAAGTCAAATGGAGCAATGTAATTAAAGTTTTCCAGGTCTTCGTAATAAATAAAAACAGTCTCAAGTGCACTTGGATTAATTAAGGAAACATTTCCTTTTTCCTTTTTCTATTTTACTTTCTATATATTTTTCTTTTTTTAGTTTGATTCTAAATAAATGTTCTTTAGTCTATACATAAATGAACAGAAATATTATGTGAGATTGATGACAGAAAACTAATTAGAAACTTTTACAAACCTTTATAATTTGATTAGTTCTGTAATAAAAGAGAACTCACAGCCACTTTCAGATTCTACGATTGGGAGTTAAAAACCTAAAAGTCTGTTCTTTCTGTGTCTTCCGTACTCAACCATATCTATGACATTTTGTTGTTCTTAACTTCCCAATATTCATTTCCTCCTTTTTAAAATTAAATTGCACAAACTTCCTTCCAGAACTATTTCTCCACCCTCAACTATCAATCCATGTGTTTTGGTTGGCATACCATCCTAGTTCCTGGCCACTTAGAGCAATAGATCCCCCAAGAGATTGGGTCAGGGACCACATGACCTACGCTGGTCCCATTACAATGGCTCCCAGGATTTTTGTGGAAACTGCACTTTCTCTTTTCCTCTGGACTTGAGCCTTGGAGAAGTTAGGCCTAGAGTTAGCCTGAGAATGAAGCCAACAAAGGAAATATGAAACTAGAGAGATGTGGCAAAACTAGGGCCTGATGATATTCTGAGTCCTGTGTCAAACCTTTAACATTTTGTTATGGGCACCAATACATTCTTTTTCTTAAGCTATTTAGAATCAGGTTTCCTTTTCCATGCAGCTAAAGGAGACCTATTTCATATAGAAACCAATCTGATTGCTTCTTCTTATTCCATGACTATTGTGTCTATTTTGCTTAGATTCTCTCATTCAGTATTTTACATATTTAACAAAAATACCATGTTTTCTTTTTTTTTATTATTATACTTTAAGTTCTGGGGTACATGTGCAGAACATGCAGGTTTGTTACACAGGTATACATGTGCCATGCTGGCTTGCTGCACCCATCAACCCGTCATCTACATTAGATATTTCTCCTAATACTATCCCTCCCCTAGCCTCCCACCCCTGACAGGCTGGGTATGTGATGTCCCCCTCCCTGTGTCCATGTGTTCTCATTGTTCAACTCCCACTTATGAGTGAGAACATGCAGTGTTTGGTTTTCTGTTCTTGTGTTAGTTTGCTGAGAATGATGGTTTCCAGCTTCATTCACGTCCCTGCAAAGGACATGAACTCATCCTTTTTTATGGCTGCATAGCAGTCCATGGTGTATATGTGCCATATTTTCTTTATCCAGTCTATCATTGATGGGCATCTGGGTTGGTTCCAAGTCTTTGCTATTGTGAACAGTGCCACAATAAACATACATGTGCATCTGTCTTTATAGTAGAATGATTTATAATCCTTTGGGTATATACCCAGTAATGGGATTGCTGGGTCAAATGAAAAATACCACATTTTCTTGACTTTAAAACATACCTTTGCACAAGTCATGTCCAAAAATACTTTGAGAAGTAAGTAGTGATGCAGCTGGCATTGCCTGCACATAAACAAACTTATTCAAATCAAGAAGAAATCTTTACTTGGATAGAAGAAATCCAAGTAAAAAAAAAAATTCTGTTTGCTCGCAAACTAGAGGTAAACAAAATGGCATTGGGTTGTGACCCTGTTATCTGCACTGGTTTCACGCACCATATAGTTGCACATTGACTTAAATTCAGATTCTAAATTTTTACTTAACATGCTTTCAGAAGATATTATGAAGCAGCACTGAAATAAAGTGTTATTGCGGTAGCAGAAGCTAAAGATTACCTGGCAAGAGCCAGGTGGTGCAATTAAAGCTAATAGAAATTGCCAAATCTTTTTAATCCTCAAAATTTCAAAACTAGCAGAGATTGGTCCAAATGATACGTGCTTATAAGGAACCATAATCAGGCTCCCAAATAGCTGTTAAAAACCTTTGACTGACTTTCAAGAGACTCTATTTAACTTACAGAAATACTTAATTCAATTAAAGATAAAAAGAAAGTGTGAATTTAATCAAACATGATATACAGACAAGATATCAGTGTTCTTCCATGGTACAGTATCAATGTTTTGATCCTAAACATGTTAAACAATTTGGTCTCCCAGGAAATGTGTTTTCCATATAGTGCTATATATACATGGATGAGAATGATTCAGGAAAGCCTTCGGGCTCCAAATATGAAGAAGAGTTAGAGTCAATATTTATGAAGCTACAGACATAAAATTTCATTGCTTTCATAAATTTATTAACATACAGGTACTAAATATTATTTATAGATTCTGGTTCTAAGATTTAGACTTAACCTCCCTACCAAACCAAAGGAGAAGAAAAAAAGAAGGAAGGTAAGGGTAAGGGAAAGGGAAAGGGAAGGGGAAGGGGAAGAGGAAGGGGAGAAAGAAAGAAAAAGAAAAAAGAAAGAAAGAAAGAAAGAAGGAAGGAAGGAAAGAAAGAAAGAAAGAAAGAAAGAAAGAAAGAAAGAAAGAAAAAGAAAGAAAAAGAAAGAAAGAAAGGAAGGAAGGAAGGAAGGAAGGAAGGAAGGAAGGAAGGAAGAAAGGAAGGAAGGAAGGAAGGAGGGAGGGAAAAGAAAGAAAAGAGGGAGGGAAAGAAAGGAAGGAAGGAAAGAAGGAAGGAAGGAAGGGAAGGAGGGAGGGAGGGAGAGAGAAAGAGACAGAAAGGAAGAAAGAAAGAAAGAAAGAAAGAAAGAAAGAAAGAAAGAAAGAAAGAAAGAAAGAAAGAAAGAGAGAGAGAAAGAGAGAAAGGAAGGGAAGAAAGAAAGAAAGAGAAAGAAAGAAAGAGAGAGAAAGAAAGAGAAAGAAAGAAAGAGAGAGAAAGAAAGAGAAAGAAAAAAAGAGAGAGAAAGAAAGAAAAGAAAGCAAGCAAACAGGCACGAAAGAAGGAAGGAGCCTTAATAAGAGAAGAAACTTAGTGGGCGTGAAACTGTGAGTCATCACGAAAAGACTGGCAGACATAGAAGTGAACCAAAACTACAGCCATAGACTTAGGAGGCATCCATTGTGTGGAAAGCCATCATAATTTAAAGTTATTATAAGCAGGAAATGTTTGAGGCCTTTACATCTGAAGCATGTCAGAGCTGCTGTGCTGAGAAGTCAAGACAGCCATCCTGAAATAAAATACTACCCTTGCCATAGCCATGTCATGTTCTGTAAGGAGAACTACATTATTCCTACAAGGATTCAAATTGGATCCCATGTAGGAGAATGTTACAGATCAGCACATATCCAGGAGAATTCTGTTATAAAGATAAACAGTCAAATAAGACTTACCAACCCTTGGCAAAAATGGGAAAGATTGTTAACACACTCAAGCCTCTCACCTCACAAGAAAGAACTTACACCTGAGGAAATGAGTTAATAGAAAGTATTTCAAAGAATATTTAATACTATAAGAGAATTAAAGCAGAGCATGTAATCAAATAATAAAATAAGAACAAGTGGTTATGAAATAAGAATAAGTAGTAATACAAATAATCAGCTAAAGGTTTTAGAAATTAAAAATATTAAGGCGGGATGCAGTGGCTCTCGCCTGTAATCCCAGTACTTTGGGAGGCCAAGGCAGGCAGATCACTTGAACTCGGGAGTTCAAGACCAGCCTGGCCAACATGGTGAAACCCCACTCTACTAAAAGTACAAAAATTAGCTGGGCATGGTGGCGCATGCCTACAATCCTAGCTACTCGGGGGGCTGAGGCAGGAGAATTGCTTGAACCTGGGAGGCAGAGGTTGCAGTAAGCTGAGATCGTGCCGTGGCACTCCAGCCTGGGTGACAGAGTGAGACTCTGTCTCAAAAAAAAAAAAATATATATATATATATATATATATATATAAACACACAATTTAGTAAACAGACTGAATAACATGGTATTAATGTATCTACTAAAGAGTAAATTGGTAGCTGGAATATATTGCTGAGGAATTCTTCCAGAGCATAAAACAGAGGTAATGAGATGTAAACAGTGGAGGAAATTGTAAGAGACATAGCAAATAGATCCAGGAACTCTACTCTATCTTGACTTAAGGAATTTTCCTAAGGGGGGACAAAAGACAAAAAGGAATAGCTATATTTGGAGCGATAGAGGCAAAGAATTTTTAAGAACAAAAAGTGATGGGATTCCTCTGTCAAAAGCGTTCCTCACATGCAATCAGAAAGTTAAATTCAATAGGAAAAAAAAATCCAAACTAGAAACATTAGAATAAAATTTCAAAACACAAAGTATAGAGAAGAAAACACTTCTATTCCTCTTCATTTTAGCCTACCTAATTGGTTTCCTAACACCTCTTTCTTTGGAGTCAGCATCATGACCAAAGGCAGGCATGGAGGTGAAGGGATTGTGGGGCAATGGGGCCAGCGATGGACTTAAGGCAGTAGCAGCGGAGACAGGGTCATAGGGTGGGGAATAAAGGGACCATGAGGAGTAATGAGGGAGCTAATTGCCAAAGAGATACTACTGTGGTCAAGAGATTAGGTACACACAGGAGGCTTGAAGAAAGAAAGAAATATAGTCGTATCCCCCATAACGAAGTTTCTGTCAACAAGGAACAGAGTATAGGAAGATAATCCCATACGATTACAACAGAGCTAAAAAATTCCTCTTACCTTATGATGTCATAGCGGTTGCATTCACATGCTTGTGGTGATGCTGGTGTAAGTAAAATTACTGTGCTACCAGTTGAAGAAAAGTGTAGCACATACAGTTATGGACAATATATAATACTTGATAATAATAAACTATTGTGTTACTGGTTTATGTATTTACTACATTACACTTTTTCTTGTTATTTTAGAGTGTACTTCTTCTAATAATTTTTTTTAAGTTAGTTGTAAAGCAAGTTAGGCCGGTCATTCAGGAGGTATTCCAGAAAAAGGCATTGTTATCACAGGAGGTGGCATCTCCATGTGTGTTACTGCCCCCGAAGACCTTCAAGATGTGGAGGTGGAAGACAGGGATAGTCATAATCCTTCCCCTGTGCAGGTCTAGGTGAATGTGCATGTTTATGTCTTCATTTTTAGCAAATAAGTTTAAAAGGTAAAAAAAATTTTTTTTAAATAGAAAAATCTTATACACTAAGGATAAAAAAAATTTTTGTATCACTATACAATGTGTTTGTGTTTTAAGCTAAGTGTTACGAGTCAAAAGTTAAAAAATTAAAAAGTTTATGAAGTAAAAAGGTTACAGTATGCTAAAGTTAATTTATAATTAAAGGAAGAAAATTTTTAAAATAAATTTAGTGTGGGCTAAGTGTACAGGGTTTATAAAGTCTACAGTAGTGTGCAGTAATGTCCTAGGCCTTCACACTCACCACTCACTCACTCACTGATTCACCCAGAGCAACTTCCAGTCCTGCAAGCTCCATTCATGGTAAGTGCCCTCTACAGGTGTACCATTTTTTTACCTTTTATACCATATTTTTACAGTACCTTTCCTATGTTTAGATACATAAACTCTTAGCATTGTGTTACAATTGCCTACAGTATTCAGTACAGTAACATACTGTACATGTTTGTAGCCTGGGAGCAATAAGCTATACCATCTAGCCTGGGTGTGTAGTAGGCTATACCATCCAGATTTGTGTAAGTACACTCTATGATGTTCACACAACAATGAAATTATCTAATGAAGCATTTCTCAGAATGTATCTTTAGGCCAGGTGCAGTAACTCACACCTGTAATCATAGCACTTCGGGAGGCTGAGGCAGACAGGTCACCTGAGGTCAGGAGCTCGAGACCAGCCTTGAACCTGGGAGGCAGAGGCTGCGATGAGCCAAGATTGCCCCACTATACTCCAGCCTGGGTGACAGGTCAAGATTCCATCTCAACGCAAACAAACAAAAAAATGAATACAAAAAAGAGGGAGGCTAGAAAGGACCCTGAGCTGTCAAGTTGAAAGTGGAGGTATCCATGTGAACATGTTTGTTTCTATATGTTTATAAAGCAATGTGTATAGATCCATATATGTGTATATATATATGTTTATATACACATATTTTTGTTATTTTAAATATTTTAACTTTTTACTTTAGGTTCAGGGGTACATGTGCGGGTTTGCTATATAGGTAAACTTGTGACTCAGGGGTTTGGTGTACAGATTATTTTATCACGCAGGTATAAGCATGGTGCCTGACACTTTTTCTTTTTCTGAGCCTCTCCCTCCACCCACCCTCCACCCTCAAGTAGGCCCCAATGTCTGTTGTGCCCCTCTTTCTTTCCAACACATATATGTTTTATTCACTGAAAGAGTCTAGAAGCAATGACACTCTTTAAGAACTAACAATGAATATAAGTGAGTGCCTAGATTTTAGTTTCAAAATTTCATATTCCACTGAAAGGAATTCAAGATTTTTGGGGAAATAGCTGATTCTAGGACGGGAGCAAGAAAAGCACAAAATGAGTCTGAAACATCTTGTTGTACCGCAAAGTAAGACAGTACTAAAAGAATAACCGGAGCCAGCTCTGAAGGAACTCATGCTGGCTACATCTTGAAAATTTGAGTATTAAAAATATAATAATAATTGATCACAACCCAATGAATAAAATAGAAATCCTTGAGTTGATATAGACATACATACATACATACATACATACATACATACATACATACAGGATAAAGAAAAGCTCTTTCTTGGTAGAATTCTGTTAATAAAAGCCAAAAGAAAGAGAAATATAAAATTATCATATAGCAACCATCATAATAGTAATTGATGCAGACGGGAGCTGTCAATTGATGCCAAGTTTTCTTGATAGAAGTTTGAAGAAGAACAATATATTGGTATAATCTAGTATCTTTCTCCAAAATCTTCAACACTTACAAAGGGAAAATGGTGACTTTATAATGGAGAAATTTTGCAGAAACCAACATGATTAAGATCAGCATTATCAGTCACGGGACTGGTCAACATTATGTACCTCCAGATGGGTGCACTGAGAAGAACACAGCATCATATCTGTGGTATTTCCACCAAGTCAGCTAGGTCTAAGTCTGGACATAAAGAAACATCAATTGGACACAGAAAAGGGACATTCTACAAAACAGAAGACCTGTCCTTTAAAATTCTCAAGTTTATAACAAACAAAGACTGAGGAATTTCTCCAGACTGAAGGAAATTAAAGTCACAAAACTAAATACATCTGAACCTGGACAAGTAATGAAAAAAACACATGCACATACACACACTTTTGGAACATCTGATAAAATTTGAATGCATCTGTAGATTGGATTGTAATGATGCCTAATACCAGTTTTTGCTTTGGATTACTATATTGTCATTATGTAGAAGCGTGACTTTATTCTGGGGAAATATACATTTAAATATTTAGTTGTGATGGAGCATCATGTCCTTAATTTGCTCTTAAATTATTTAGAAAAGAATAACAATAGTTAAGGAGAGAGAGTACAAATGTTAACAATTGGGAAATCTGGATAAAGAGGATATGGCAGTTCTTTTTTTTTTTTTTTTTTGGCTGGAGTGCAGTGTTGAGATCATAGCTTACTGCAGCCTCAGACTCCTGGGCTCAAGTGATCCTCCCCAGGAGGTGGGATTACAGGTGCACACCACCATACCAGCCAAATTATTTGTATTTTGTTGCAAAGACAAGGTCTCTCTCTGTTGACCAGGCTGGTCTCAAACTCCTGTCCTCAAGCAATCCACCTCACACCCCACCGCCTGGCCCCTCTCCGTTCCTCCAAGTCTCAGCCTCCCAAAGTACTGGGATTACACACGTGAGCCATTGCACCCAGCCCGGCAATTCTTTATACTGTTCTTACAACTCTTTTGTACTTGGAAATTATTACAAAATATTTTTTAAGTAGAAAAAATTCTAAAAGCCACAAGTGAAAGAGAAAAAAAATTACTCACAAAGGAAGAAAAATCAGATTGATATTAGGCTTCTCATCAACAATATACGAAGATAATGAATTCACATTATCAGAATGTTAAAAGAATAAAACTTTAAAAATATAAATCTATATGCAGGCAAGTTTGCCCCAAAAAGTGAAATTAAGAGACTTTCATACATAGAACTCAGAAATTTTACCATCCTTTGGTGATCTTCGAAAAAATTGATAATAGCAACATACCAAACCAAAAAAGTGGACTAGAAGGAATTAATGGTATGCAATAATCAATAGACATCTTGTAAATCTTCATTGTCATATCCATGTAAGTACTAATTGTTTTTTAAATTTGTCTTTAATGGTGACTGGAGCTACAATCCCAGATGATAAAAAAAATAGATTTAATGAGATGGGAGTTAGGGAGTTCAGGTGAGTAAGAAAGACAAGAAAGAAGGACAAAACAAGCCTAGTTTTTTTTCTTTTTGGAGGGGGAAGAAGAAGATAAAGATACTCTTTACTTAAAAAGTGTGCATGCTAAAAACATGAAGATAACAGAGGAAAAAAGCATCAAAATATAATTTTCAAAGTTAAAAGCATGACTGTCATGAAAATATAGAAAGAACACATGTTAAAGATTTATAAAATGGCTTGTTTTTTTTTTGGTAAGCATTTAAAAATGTTAGAATAGGGCCAGGCATGGTGTCTCACACCTGTAATCCCAGCACTTTGGGAGGCTGAGGCGAGGGGATCACTTGAGCCCAGCAGTTCGATACCAGCCTCAGCAACAATGTGAGACATGGCCCCCCCACCGATCACATATCTATAAAAATAAATAAATAAATAAATGTTTAAAAACAAAAATGTTAGAATAAAATTGCTAGGTTAGACAATATTAAGAAAAATTATCCAAAATGTGGAATTAAAGCAGCTGCCTTTCGATATTATAAAGGGGCACAGACCTAATCAAGGGTTACTTAAGGCAGATTCTGCAAATGTTTTCTGTAGAGAACTAGAGAATATGTAAATATTTTTGGCATTGCAAGCTACAGGTTCTTAGCACAAAATCAGCCAAAGGTAATACATGAACTAATAGGCTGGCTAGGTTTGGCCCATAGCAAGCCAGATTTGCCCTGCAGGCTATAGTTATCAACCCCTGATTTACAGAAATGTACTCTTTCGACTCACTGCTTATCATTGATTAAGGGTCCAGATTTAATGAATTTACATATTAACTTTTATATTTTTTCCAGTGGAGGTGTAAATAATTTCTTTTGGTAGAAAACAGCTTCAAAGGTTGTGGTTTGTTATCCTGTAGACTATTAGACAGTTTTATTTTTAAATTTTCTTTGAACATGTTATTAAATGACAGAAATATGTAGCTTCCCAAATGTTGTTTGAAGTTATCTTAATATTTTACTAGTTCTCTCATTAATAAATGAGTTGAATAAAATGTTTGTCATATAAACATTTTTTATGAGAGTCATTAATTTTACCTTTTTGAAAATTACACTTTAACAATACAAAATGTACTCTAGGAAAAAACAAAACAAAACAGTTATGAATAGGATTATCATTCTTAATGGACAAAAATCTACAAATTAATATGTAACTTCGTAGTGTCTAAGCTATAGTCAAATAGCAAACAGCAAATTTAAACATGGGCATATTCCTCTAGATCACTAAGTAATCTGCTTTCCTTAGTCACCCCCAGTATGACATGAAAGGATATGCTTTATTCCCTCTGCCTTATTTCCCAGTTTTGGGATAAATTTTTTTTTTTTTTTTTGAGACAGAGTCTCTGTCTGTCGCCCAGGCTGGAATGCAGTGGCGTGATCTCAGCTCACTGCAAGCTCCGCCTCTGGGATCTCGCCATTCTCCTGCCTCAGCCTCCCGAGTAGCTGGGACTACAGGGGCCCACCACCACGCCTGGCTAATTTTTTGTATTTTTAGTAGAGACGGGGTTTCACCATGTTAGCCAGGATGGTCTCAATCTCCTGACTTCGTGATCCACCCGCCTCGGCCTCCCAAAATGCTGGGATCACAGGCGTGAGCCACCACACCCAGTCTTGGGAGAAAATTTTAACAAGAGAAAACAATGAGGAAAATCTTTATTTTATGCAACATAAAAAAGGACATGAGAAAAAGAAATAAGAATTATAATAAATTTAAAATTCAGGATGAGAAGGTAGAAATAATTCTAAACGTAGCAGTAATTATGATAAATATGAATGGGTGAAATTCCCAAAATAGATTTAAGCTAATCAGTCTCTGTTAACAAACTATTGAGTGTTGTTAACATGATATACAAATTAAAACAACACAGGCAGGTTTTAAAAGAGTAGGAAAAAAACATACCAGGCAAATTTTTTTTTTGACGGTACAAGGTGGGTAGCTTAGTTGTCATATGACATATAGTACTGGTTCCTAAATTTGTCTGTGAATCAGAATTATCTGAATTGCTTGTAAAGACTCCTGGGTCTGACTCCAGACCTACTGAATAGGAATTTCTAAAGAAGTGATGTCCAGGAATCTCTCATTTTAGCTAGCTCTACAAGTGGCTCTTGTTCAGCCCTCTAGGCCTTAGTCTGTGGACCTCAGTTTGAAAATCACTAATAAAGACAGGACTGGAAGCTGGATATCTCCTTCCTGCTTCTGCCACCAATGCCATGTGATCTTTTCAACCT
The DNA here is from genome assembly GCF_000001405.40 of Homo sapiens. Classification (NCBI taxonomy): domain Eukaryota; kingdom Metazoa; phylum Chordata; class Mammalia; order Primates; family Hominidae; genus Homo; species Homo sapiens. The sequence continues at coordinate 94,464,154 of NC_000007.14, forward strand.
ATAAATTTTCTCCATTCTGAAACGTCCAATGACAATAATAATTACAGAAGCTCCTCCTTACCAAACACATGGAGATAATCTAGGAACAAACTAGGTTATACCATAGGGTTGTGTTTTGAGCTTTCTGGGAGAGGCATACTGTAAATATAAGGGCTTATGAATGCAACTACTTCTATCTGGGGATTTTTTTTTTTTCAATCTAAGATGAACTTGGTGATACTAATTGGTCACACAACACACATATAAACAATACAATTGCTAAATGCAGTGAGGCCCCAGACTAAGAAGTTAAAGGCAAGGCCAAACACCGGCTAGATAGAACTGGTGGGGTTTTTTCCCCTTGTTTTCCTTTTTTTTAAAAAGACTTAAAAATACAAACCCTTGTGTCCCAGGCTAACCTCCTTTTATTATTTTCCTTCCAGCTTTTATTTTAGATTCAAGGGGTACATGTGCAGATTTGTTATATAATTTGTAAATTATGTGTCACAGGGCTTTGGTATACAGATTATTTTGTCACCCAAGTAACAAGCATAGTACCTACTAGGTAGTTTTTTGATCCTCACCCTCCTCCCATCCTCCACACTCAAGTAGGCCCCGGTATTTATCTTTCCCTTCTTTATGTCTACGTGTACTTAGTGTATAAGTGAGAATGTGCAATATTTAGTTTCTGTAAATTAGTTCAGTCACCATGGAAAGTTGTTTGGAGATGTCTCAAAGAACTTACAACAGAACTACCATTCAACCCAGCAATCTTATTACTGGATATATAGCGAAAGGAATATAAATCATTGTACCATAAAGACATATGCACATGTATGATCATCACAGCACTATTCACAAGAGAAAAGACATGGAATCAACCTAGATGCCATCAACAGTGGACTGGATAAAGAAAATATGGTACATATAGACCACAGAATACTATGCAGCCATAAAAAAGAATTAAGTCATGTCCGTTTCAGCAACATGGATACAGCTGCAGTCCATACCAGGCAAACTTTAATAAAAAGAAGGCTCATGTCAGACCAAAAAAAAAAAAAAAAAAAAGAATTCAAGGCAAAAGTAAATAAGAGATGAAAAGAAATATTTCATTCATATAAAAGTCATAAAATATTAAGCACCAATCAATATAACATTTATGAGAAAAAGAATTATAACTCCTAAAAGAAACTAATACCTTCACAGGTATAGTAGGAATCTTTAAGATGCCTGTCTCAGAAAGCAACAGATAAAGCATATTCAAAAATAAGTAAGTAGGCTGGGCGTGGTGGCTCACGCCTGTAATCCCAGCACTTTGGGAGGCCGAGGCGGGCAGATCACGAGGTCAGGAGATCGAGACCATCCTGGCGAACACGATGAAACCCTGTCTCTACTAAAAGTACAAAAAATTAGCCGGGCGTGGTGGCAGGCGCCTGTAGTCCCAGCTGCTTAGGAGGCTGAGGCAGGAGAATGGCGTGAACCCGGTAGGCGGAGCTTGCAGTGAGCTGAGATTGCGCCACTGCACTCAGGCCTGGGCGACGGAGCAAGACTCCATCTCAAAAAAAAAAATTAAGTATAGACAATGTCTGAATAACATAATTTAACCCATTTAACCCATTTATTTGCTAACATATATAATATACATATATACATATACATCAATGAGTATATTCATGTATGTTTACATATATATGAATACATACACTCTGAGAATAATTTTCTTCTAATATAAATGAGAAACTTACAGTGAATAACCATGTGCTGCCCACAAAGGAAGTTTCAACAAATTAGCAACAGAACAGTGTATGTTCACTGCCCACAATACAATGAAATTACATGTATACCACTAAGAGATAGCCAAAAAGTAAAAACATACGAAATAATAATAAATGAAAGGTCTAATTTTTATTTTCAAAACTATCTTTATATGGTAGTGCATTCTATAATTAATGACTTATTAAAGCTGATGAACTATATGCCCAAATAACTTATCCAAAATTCCAAAATCCAGAAAACTCTTGAAGTTTCAAGAAATTTTTAACTCATTTGACAGCAAAATATAACCTAATCTGAAATTATTTAGTAGCTACAGTTGATCTTAATTCACAAGATGTCATATAAAGCCTTTATTTATTCTATACAGTGTGGATATTCATGTTTGTGACAAAAAAAAAATGTGTTTAAGCAAGCAGTGCTGCCCCAGGTGCCTGTGGAAGAAGTTGCATAATAAATCCACATCTGTGATATGAATTTATGTTACTATTCTAAAATACAAAAATTTTTGAACTCTAAAATATACATCAGACTTCAAGTGGTTTGGGTAAGAGATTCTAGGCCAGTTTAGCATTTCTTCTGTATTTCAAACCTAAGAAAATCAAGTAATGAGGACAGCTTTTTAGCTCCAATATTTGTTTTCTACCTCCTAAAACTTCCCAAACACTTTTTTCTGTGGCAGGACACCAATTTTGTGGCTATTAAAATATGCAAACTAAAACTATTTCATTTTTACTTCCTTTCCTTCATGCAGAGAATGATGGAATGCAAATATTTTCCCTTGCCTCGAGGCAGGGTTCAGATATTAAGAAAAAGAACTAATATTTTGATTGTTAATGATTCAGCCTCTATGGGTAATGAGCCATCAAGGTTTATTGTGAAAAGAACAGGAGAACTGAATTTGAGGAAAGAGGCAGTGCCTGTGTTGGAAATCTGAATAGAGAGGAATGGATTTTCCTCACCTCTCCCATGCTTAGCTAAAAGGTAGCTAAGAAGAGGTGAATAAAGGAAAGAGGGTACCAGAAGGAGCCCCTGGAGCTCATGAGCCCAAACAAGGTAGAAGAGGGCCTGCTGCCTGGAAAGAAACAAATGGATGGACCTAATTAAGGGCTACTGCCAAGAACACTACACAGTGCCCAGGTATTAAATGGAAGATGAGTAAGCAGGAGTCTTCACTTGTATGAGAATGTCACTATCCCAGTTGAACCTCTCATTAACAACAAGAAGGACTTAATTAGAATGCAGTGCTTCATCTATTGATTTTGGGCAGGGATGATGCCTCCTGGGTTATATGATTTTACCAAGTCCTGTCTGAATACCCTATGGAGAAACCCCCATTCTAATTATGACACTTCAGAAACTCCTTCAAGCCCAAGATAAGAGAGATAAAATCCTGGGTATCTAGTGCAGTAGCAGTGATGGGAAAATCACTCTGCATTTTCTCCACAGGGGAAGGGGTACAGAATTGCACCTAATTTTATTTTGTAAGTGGCCTAGGAAACTGTCCTGCATCTGAATGATTTGCAAATATATAATTGTTTGTGCTTCTAGCTATTCCACTCCCTCTTTATTGATATTCATTATCAGAAATGTGGACAGTTTTAGTCACTATATCAATCTATAAACTTTGAAATAAAGAGTAAAATAAGGAATAGTGTTAAAAATGATTGCAGTGTATGCAACAGTTTTAATGCAAAAATAGACTTTGTATAAGCACTACTAAAACAAACAACAAGAAAATCTGGAGCAATCTCTGTGATTTTGTGGACCTGTTTCCTGTGTTGAGTGAATCTATATTTTAAGCCCAGAGAAGGAAGCAGACTCTTGTCTTTCCCACTTTCACGGATCATCATTTCACCTGTTCTATCAACCTAAATTCCATCCTCATCTGAATGTATATATGGTATGAATTATAGTCATTTTCAAAAAAGTAAAAACTTGACTCTCATACAAATATATGATTAACACATGTCAAAGATGTTATTTAACTCTTTAATTGATCGAGAGACCTATTGCAATGGGTTCAAAAGAGACCTCATAGAAGACAAATTTATGAATCTGAAATATTGAAATGAATTTGCAAAACTGAGTTTTCCACAGGAGAAAAGGTGTTTCCCCTCATAGATAGAATTTATTTGCATGTCTATAGGCAAGAATTATTTGCATTGCTACCTGTTTCAAGTTAACTTTACCGTATACAGAGTAGTAAAATAGCTTAGCTAAAGACAAAATCGCATATCCCTACATGTTCAATAACCCCCAAAGGCTCTAGCATTGCATTGAATTTATATACAGTAATCTCATTTGTGCATTCCAAAGTCTTAAATTTTCCCTTACAAACAACATTTTTATATAATCTTTACATTTTCATAGCTACTTCTGCAATTCTATAAGTCAAGCCGAAGCTTCTTTCTTAAAGGAAATGTTCATTTTTCATGCAGATTATAATAAAATGTTAAGCCTCTTGATAATTGTCAAAGTATCAATGATAGTGAATAGGCAAAAATTATTTCCTGTTCTGATATGTAATAGCTATACTTACAGTTTGCAAAACCTTAGACAAGGGTAAGAAAGAGAAAAATAATTAGTCAATTTTTACTTTTGTTGTGACAGGGTCTCACTCTGTCACCCAGGATTGAGTATAGCGGTGTGATCTCAGCTCACTGCAACCTCTGCCTCCCTGGCTCAAGTGATCCTCCCACCTCATCCTCCTGAATAGCTGGAATCACAGGCACACACTGGCTAATTTTTTGTATTTCTGGTAGACATGAGGTTTCACCTTGTTGTCCAGGCTGGTCTCAAACTCCTGAGCTAGAGCAATCCACCTGTCTCGGCCTCCCAAAATCCTGGGACTACAGATGTGAGCCACTGTGCCCAGCCAATCATTACTTTTAAAATAATGTTTAGCAGAAGCAGCATCTTGATAGTCATCAACAGCAATATCAATAAATATTTTATGTGCTATAATATTTTTGGTTAGAAGTAAGATTAATAAAATAATTCAATTCTCAATAAAGGTCTTATTTAGATAAAATGTAGCAAGTAATTTAACTGTATTAGAGACCTTTTAAAAAGAACTGGGCCACTCAAATTGTCATTCCTTAATTTTTTTTTACATTCTAAGATAAAAATATAATAAACTAAATGCCAATAGTAGCTGATATATTAACAATGGAGCACAATATTAGTACAATAAAATTTTTTCTTTAATACATTACACATCACATATGTTGAGGTCCTTTCTATGCTGCACAAAGAAATCTAGCCTGCATTTACAATTTTAAATTATTATATTCTTGTGTAAATTTTATAGTTGATTTATAACTTGGGATTTATTTGATGTCAAGCCTTCTGGTCACAAATGAAACTCTAAATTGAAGCACCATAGAAGCATCTGATTAAAAAAATTACTCACTGCTTTGACGGAATTATATTACAGAAGTATATTGCAGCAAAAAGTAGGGATTTTCTTGTATGTTTTTCCAAATAATTGGGAAAACTCTGCTTGCAGCTATTTCAGAAATGCTCATATCAGAGCAGTTCTTGCCCAAGTTAACTATAAAATGCATGAAACAATAGTTTGACAACATTCAAGAGCACTTCCAGCAGACAGGACTTGAGAAGCAGCAGTCCGGGAGAGAAGGAAAACACACTGAAGTGAGATTCTGCCCTGTATTTCCCTTCAAGACATCTGCAAATTTGCATCTGAGAGAAACAGAGATTAAAAAGAAAGACAAACCTGGCTTACGACACTCTCACTGGGCTGAAGAAACAGAGTTTGGGGGTGAGGGCATGTAATAGAGTTAAAATTTGGGGAAGAAAACACATAAAAGTAAGCGTGAAATTCTGCATGCAATTTCCTTGCAAGGGGTGGCCATCCCCAAAACTGCATATACACAAAGCAAGACTCCTAAACATCTAGCAGAAAGTACCAGTATGCCAAAGAGCTAAGCAAAGATTTTAGCAGTATGGTAGTACCAAGGGCATATAGATTATAATTCAGGGCTCACAAAAGTAGAGGGGACCCAGGAAACACCCCCATGATTTCACATGAGACCATAAAAAGGTTATACCTTAGAAGTAAAAAATAAGGAATAAAGGCAAATTAAAACTAGACCAGTTCCATCACAGTATAGAATCCACTCTTGGAATCCACTCTTGACTAGATAAAAGTGACCTGTTATATCTCTATCTACTTGCCAAAATGAAATTAAATTATCTTTGGGGAAAGATATCGTCATCTAAGGCCTGTATAATTTTTCATACAGAATCTCTAGTATTCCATCAAATATTGTTAGGCAAGATAAGAAATTGGAACATATAACAAAAAACTAGGAAAGATTTGACAATGAAATGGAAGTAAAGATGACCCAAATAGTGGAGCTATCATTAGAGACCTCAAAATAACATTATGGCCAGGTGTTGCGGCTCATGCCTGTAATCCCAGTGCTTTGGGAGACTGAGGCAAAAGGATTGCTTGAGCCCAGGAGTTTGAGACTGGCCTGGGCAACATAGTGAGACTTTGTTTCTACAAACAATAATAAACTAATAATAATGTTTAATATGTTCATGAAAATTGAGAAAAGAATGGAGAATTCATAAGAAACAAGGAATCTACTAAATAAAATAAAGTGGAAATTGTAGAAGTTGAAAAGATAACTGAAATAAGAATCTAATACTTGGATTTAAAAGCAGATAAGGCAAATAATAAAAACATACATCTACATAAAGACATGTACGCAAATGTTAATAACAGCATTATTCAAAATAGCCCAAAACTGGTAGTAATCCAAATGCCCATCAGCTGATGAATGGATGAACACATGAGGTATAGGCACACAATAAAATACTATTCAGCAACGAAAAAGAGTAGACTGCTCATGTATTCAACAACATAGATGAACCTCAAAAAAATGTTAAGTGAAAGAAGACCGACACAAATGGCTATATAGTGTACCATTCTATTAACAGAAAATTTCTAGAAAAGGTAAACTTATACACACAGAAGTAGATCCACAGTTGCCTAGGGCTATGGGTGGGAGTGGAAATTAACAACAAATGGGCACAAATAAATTTTAGGGGGTGATGGAAATGTTCTAAAACAGAATTGAGGTAATTTTACACAAATACACAAATTTACCAAAATTTATCACATTGTACACTTATATTTGGTTAATTTATGCTATGTAAAATTATAAATTATATCTCAATATACGTTTTTTTAACTTTAGCTGACTCCTAAATGATGCACTTGCCAGACAAAATCGAGATAAAGATTCTTAACAATTAACTGTGATTTTAGCTGCCACACAAGAGACAGCGTTTGATGCTTGAGTCCACCCGAGTTTAATATCTGAAAAAAAAATCAGAACTTTTGGAAGACTATAAAAGAATGCACAATATAACCCTGACAGTGCCCAGGGTATAGAAATTACTGAATATATTTTTAAAACAGGAAGTATTACTTTTCTCGACAGAAAAGATAGAATATTGTTATACTAATGTTGGTAAATATATACACCAACCCTGGATGATACAGAAGTTGGAATTAGTAGGCAAAGATTTTAAAGTAGCTGTTATAACTATGGTCAGTGAAATAAGGAAAAATATGTTAGCAATAAATAAAATAATAGGAAATCTCAGTAAAGATAAATAAAATATGAAATATTTTGAAATATTTATTAAAATAAGCTAACGAATTCTAAAACTAAAAAATAAAATGTCTGAAATTGTAAAAAGAATCATTATATAGGTTTAGCAGCAAAATAGAGATGACAGAGCAACTAGTCAGTGAACTTGATAATACAATAGAAATAGTCCAATCTGAAGAATAGACAAAAAAATTAAAAAGATTGGAAGAAAATGAGCAGAGTCTCAGAGAACTCTAAGACAATATCAAAAGACATAACATATGTATAATTGGAATCACAGAATGACAGGAAAGAATGTGGCAAAAAAAATTTGAAAAATTAGCCAAATTTTTCCAAAATTGGGTAAAAGGCATAAATATAAAGCTTGAAAAAGCTCGGTGACCCTCAAACATGATAAATGAAGAAGCTATGTGTAAATACATCGTAGTCTTAACTGCTGAAAACCAGAGAAAAAGAGAACTCTTGAAAGAAGCCAGAAAAAGAATAACATAATTACATAAGGTTCAAATCATCCCAGATTTTGCATCTGACACTGTGTAGGCCATAATTCCATAAACAAATATCTTCAAAGTTCTGGAAAAAAAGTGTCAACTCAGAATTTCATATGCAGCAAATATATCCTATTGGACTGAAAGTGAAATACTATAATACAATTTTCAAATAAAAGAAAACTAGGAAAATGTGTCTTCTAGCAAATCTGCTGAAATCCTAAATAAAATTCTTCAAACTGAAGAGAAATTATACCAGCTGAAAACTCAGATCATCAGGAAGGAATGAAGATGCTTGGAAATATAATATCTGGGTAAATATAAAAAACTACTACTTAATCTCTTTAAAATATATCTAGGTATTTAGGTCAAAAACTATAAAACTTATTGAGGATTTATAGTGTATGTGGATGTAATCATACATGATAATTGTGCTATATATAATGCACAATACATCATGATATATGATCATATCATTATATCACATAAAGGATAGGTGGGGGAATATTAAGCCTATATGATAGTAAAGTTTCCACATTTTGTGTAGGCTAAATGTCCCTATTTACTCTAAATTAGGTACCCTATTAACTCTAAATTAAGAGTAAAAAGTTATACACATTAACCCCCAGAGCAACCACTTTACCTGGGATTATAATCTCCTAAAAAGCAAGACCTTTGCTTTATTCACTTTTCATTCTGAATCACTAACCACAGAGTAGCAAGTCTAGTGAAACTGAATAGAAATAATGAAACAATATTTGTTTAGGTGTTTTGAATCAACTTTTTAAAACTGGAATTGCTCACAATCGAAGCATAATTCTATTCATAGCACAATGTTTAGCATATAGAAAAGACATGATAAATGCAATCATAATAAGTAGTAGTGTTCTTAATGATGTCTTTGGAACACAATAATGTCATGAGTCATTCTTTCTGAATCTTCAAAGGATAATCAATTTATATTTAAATATAATCAACTTATGTATAAGAGCATGTGTTTCGAGTGCCCAAACTTGGGCTTGAGTTTCAGTGATTACCTACATGACTTCTCAATTTATTTACATGTAAAGTGAGATGATGATTTTAAAAGCTTACTTTACAGACCTGTTTAGAAAATTAAATGAAATTTCATGTAAGTTGTTTAACATAGCACTTGGTACAAAGGAAGTGTTCAATTAATATTGGCTGCACTTATTGAAGGAAGCTTTAGGATTGATGATACTCAATACAAACTCTTTAAAAATGTGTAATCCATAGCTAATCATATATAAATCAACTCTGTACTAGTCAGAATATCTGATTAATCAGAATTTTCATTCCCAAACTTTGGGAGATCACTGTGTCATTTAACTCCACCATGTATGAAAGCCTCCACATTTTCAAACCATTAACAAATAAAAAACAAGAATGGTGCTACTATCGTATCAGATGAAATAACAGCAACATGGGTCAACAATTTCTTAGAAAACCCCATGGGACCTGATGTCCTTTGGAATTCAGAATGTCTTGGATCTAAGTAAGTTGTGAATTATCTCATGTAACAACCCCAAGGGGTATGGCAGTAGCTCTTAATGAAACGCATTAATACTTCTACCATCCTACATATGAATATTCATGCAAAGTGGGATAAGTGAAGTTTATAAGTTGTCACAGATCAGTTCCGGTCAGATCTTACCACTGAATGAGTTTGCTACAAGATGAACCAATTGTTTTCAGCTTTTCAATTTCAGAATTGCACATAAGGGATTGCAGACTTAAGAAAACAAACACTTATATTGCATTAATCATGAGCCAGGCATGTTCTAAATGCTTTACATATCAACATATTGATCCACAGCAAGCCTATCAGGTAGACATTATGATTATCCCCATGTTACAAATGAGAAAACTGAGGCACAAAAAGGTTAAGTAATTTACCCACAGTTGCATACTGAATAAGGTGTATAAAGAATGAGGATTCTGTTCTGGAGCTTATTCCTTAATCATCTTGCTATGTTGGTTCTTTGAAATCTAATTTATGTCCTAATTATCTGTAAAGTAATGTATTTAAAGGTCATCTTAAATAACAATTTCTAAATTCAGCAGGATATCAGTCAGCATCTGGCCCAAGGGACCCTTAAGACTGTAGAAAAATTTTCCTGCTCTGCAGGCACCCTTGCACTGTGAACAGAAATAGAAAATCTTACTCAAGTACCAATATGTACAATATTCACCAATATGTACCAATACCACATTTGTTTTTCTCTGCCATACTGGCAGTGAAAGAAATAGCAGGGGTGAGAAATTGGTGGGGGAGGCAAGCAGAATGGAAAATAACATGTGAAAAGCAATAGAATCCCAAGTGGGTAGCTTTGCTCCTTCCCATGTGTTCATTTTTACTTTTGGAAGAACAGGGTGGCAGGTTGTCTGGGCTTGACTAGAAGTCACATTGCATTGAGTCTCCTGGACCTCCTCTTGAGGAATTACATAAAAGTCACATTAGAATGCTGGTTATTGATTTAGAACATTTCTCACCTCTGATTCACTGAATGATTTGAATACAACTTGAAAAGCTTTACCAGAGTTTTCTGTATCTTAAATTCAACTACAAACATACAATGGCTTCTGTGATGTCTCTGTAGTGACTATAACAAATCATCATCTCTTCTTTGAAAACCAAGTGATCAGCACTTTCCAAATGTAATTTCTGTGTAGGTATATATTAACCATATTCCATTCCCATATCTACTGTTTAGCTGATTGCCTTTACAATATAGGACATTACAGTTAAAGGTACATTTTTAAAAATTAGATGTTTTCACTGCTAGTCAGAGACACAAAGTATTTATTGTGTCCTGTATCCCAGATATAGTCAAATCTAGACTATGCCTAAAAAGTTGAACATAATTTTAATTATATATCTAATTCCTGTTGGAAAACAATCTGCCTTATTTTATACTCTTGTTTTAGTATTCTCATTTCATGCCCTGGGCCCCCAGGTAATCACAACCTTAGCTGTTACATTTGAAAGACAAGTTATGTGAGATTAGATTTGATTCTGCTTGGTGAAAATGTTAGTTCACTGTAATATTGTATTTATGGTATCCAGAGATACATACATACAGAAGGTAAAGAAGTCTAAGAATCAGAGGGTACAAGAAACTGCTAATTATAAAACAATGTAAAACTAAGTTAGATGGATCCATCTTAAAAGATCTGGAAAACAAATGAGAATATAACAATAAGTGAACCACCTCCAGATCCCGGCTTGGCATACCATCAAGAAGTATTTTAAAAAATTGCTTAAGATCAAATGGACAAAAGTGGAAAAGGACAAAACTATACAGATGAAACTTTCAAATAACTCAGTAGCCCCTATTATCTCTCTCCCCAAGGGCAGAAGAGCCATTACTGCCGCTGTGGGAGAGTGAAATATTCTCCTCATTGCAGAATTGAACCAATCTCCCTCTTGTATGGGTGATCACAGCAAGGGTAAGTACACTAAGTGAATCAGGGAAAGAGATTGCCGGCAGGAATGTCTGCAGACAAGGCGTGAAAGAGCTCTTTTCTGGGTTTTATCAGGGCAATCACATTAAGGTAAGAGAAACTTTCAATCAACCAGGAAGAAAAGGTTATTATCCCAGAAGTCCTCTTTTTCACCTGGTACAATTCAACATTATGTGGTAAGAAGGAAACTAGCACTTGAACACCACAGTGGGCTAGGCACCTTGATGGGTATGTTGTTTGTGAACTCATCTGATGTTATAATAAGTTCTGTGATTGGATATCTGCTCTCATTATACTGATGAGACTAAAGCAAAGACTCCAGGTAACTCATCCACCGTCACTCTACTAGTAAGCAAGAAGATAGAATTCAAATACAGATCAGTGTAACTTCATATGTTCTTCCCACTGCTCTTGGGAAACTTTTGCCTTCCAGATTCCCTCCTTCTTTTCTTTCTTCTCAAAAATACAGACTCATTCACCTCTCTCTAATAAGAATCAGGAATTCTCCAATCTAGGACATCCTTGCTGCCCCTCAAAAAGAGACTTCTCTTCAATCGAATATTTTCCCTTGAACATCTTCAGGAAATGCCACCTACAAAGACACTTTGGATTGGCAAAGAGCAGAGTCAGGACAAAAAGACAAAACTCTTTAAAGATGTGATTTTCTGAAATGGAGGGAATGGACATTGTTTTTATTTGTAATATAAATGAATCTTGGTAGTTTGGGTTTAGATCCATTCTAGATCACCCCTCAAAGTGGTACCTGTGGACCCAGGGTTCAATCATGGCCAACAATGCCTAGACTATAGACTCTGCAGAGGATGCTGCTACACAAGGGTCTGTGGATGCATCTGGGGATGGGGGATGTGGAAGTGGACATTGAGCAATCCCCAAACCCTTTCCTTTACTTTCTTCATTGACCTTTGTCACATACCACACTTTACTGGAAATGTAAGGAAAAACAAAATTAGTGTGGGGCAAGAAATTTGAAACTATATATTAAATATGACTTTCCCAACAGTCCAGAGGTCAACCAGCTACAAGCCACAACAGAGCTTAATTTCACGTATGTTCCAATGTAGTTTGCACAATTCAGGGTATCGTCTTTGCAGTTACTAAAGCATGCGAGGGTCTGGAATCCAAGGATAAGTGCATGGACAGTGTTTACGCATATTTCATCCAGTTGGTAATGAGGGATGATGAAGTACTCTCATTACCGAATACTTCAGAGACCAGAAATTTTTCAGACCTTCAGATCTAGCATCTCTTCTGCTCCTCACCCAGATGACCCTTTCTGCCTTCTTTAACAGTAAATAACAGTCAATACATTTTTTTCATAAATTCTGTATGACTCAATTTTGTTAAGCTCTCAGCTTTTTGAGAATACGTGTGACTTCTATGTGCTGCCTAAATACACATTTTTTAAATTGTGCTTGTTATCTTAATTTATACCTCATTTTATAAAGGACACCTGGCAAGAGCGAAAGTCAATAGTAGACTTCTCCTGTACTCAGTACATAAAGGATTACAGTTTTCCCTAAGGCTGGGAGATGACGGAAGATGGACCTTTAACGGTTAAACTTAGCACACAGTACTGATGAAAGGAGATATAAAAGCGAGAGATGAAGCTCTCAGGCCAATGAAATTGACTGCATCCTGAGATGGCATTAACTGTTAAAGAATGTTTACTGAACCTGTTTATTTTGTTGTGATTTTATGTTCATCAAGTAAGCTTCAGGTCATAATTGACATTTCATGTTCACTTATCTACACAGACAGAATGGACTGTTCATAGACTATAGTTCTCTGGTTAGTGGAACACTTCTATTTCCCATTAAAAATTAATGAATTGGCACTCAATTTTAGACATCAGCCTTGTGAGTTTGGTTTCCATGAATCTGTCACTGAGAAATGCATCCATTCTCATGAGTCGACAAAAACTTTAGGGCTTCAAGCCTAGACAAGCTCAGGGCCATATCTTTTGATAAATTCACCAAAGTAAAGCCCCCATGCATGGTTCTGCGGGGTATTTAGAGAGCCAGCTGCTGCCACCTCTCACTGACAGAGTCTGTCTTTGCATTCCTGCTTCTGAGCAATGGTGTTAACTATAGCAGCCCATTAATTTTTGGCATCCTACTCAGCCTTATGCACAGGAATCTATAACAAAAAGAACATATTCTTTACCTCTAATTGGGGAGGAAAATGCACTTTTGTTGTTTTCCCAGCCCACCTTGTGTCAGTTGTCACTTTTAGTGGGAAAAACTAAATTAAAGATGGGAAAGTCAGTAATCACCACCCTCCCTGAGCTACCAAGCACACCAAGCTAATACATAAAATAAAACACTTTAAAAAATACTCCAGACTTACAGACTTTTTCCAATTTATGATACATGTTGACTTTTGCTAGTTTTGATAAAGAAATACAAGATTATTTTCCTGTGCAATTTCCCTCGGTCTTGAACATCTGAAAGCAGACAGATTTACAAATCCATCATCAAGGTAGGATACTGTAAATACATTTTATTCATGTTTACTCATGTTATCTAGAGAAATGTTTGCTTTTCCTGCTGTTTCTGGGAAAAAGTGAGAGCTCTGCTTTACAGGACTACCACAAACAACAGTAATATAATTTCATAACAACCAACATAAAGAAGCACTTCTCTATCATTTTACAGATTATTTTGAATTCAATTAACTGATATTAATATTTCTTAAGTCCCTAATATGCACCTAGATCACCCCTCAAAGTGGTGATTGATGTTATAATAAGTTCTGTGATTGGATATCTTCTGCTCTCATTATACTGATGAGACTAAAGCAAATAATCCAGGTAACTCATCCACCATCACTCTACTAGTAAGCAAGAAGATGAAATTCAAATACAGATCTGCGTAACTTCATATGCTTGGGGGGAGGAATCCCGAAGTTTGTATTCATGAAAATGTTACATTTGAAGTAGGTTTTATGTGTTTATTTGAAATTATGTTGAAACAGAGACAGGTGGGGGTCTTCATTGGTTGTCTTATTGCTATCACAAAAATCCAGCTTATTTTCTAGAAAAATGAAATAAGATTCATAAGCCTCAGTTCTAACTATATGGTGGGCAAAAGAGAATTAAAATTTAACTCAAACATCTCAGCCACAGAAGTCTTTTGTGGTCCTAGTGGTTGTTAATAACCCTTGAAACTTATTAATCGAAGGACGGTATGCTTCTGTTGCTAGAAACTATGCAGCTTCACCATAAAGCCACCCTATTAAATTCATCAATAAAACCTTGGAGGAGGCTGAGGCAGGAAGATCGCATTAGGCCAGGAGTGGAGTTCATCCCACACACTGAATTTAGATGGCTTAGATATATTTTCTTTCTTTCTTCCTTTTTTCTTTTTCTTTCTTTCTTTTCTTTCTTTCTTTCTTTCTTTCTTTCTTTTCTTTCTTTTTCTTTCTTTCTTTCTTTTTCTTTCTTCCTTTTTCTTTCTTTCTTTCTCTCTCTGTCTCTTTCTTTCTTTCTTTCTTTCCTTTTCTCTTTCTTTCTTTCTTTCCTTTTCTTTCTTTCTTTCTTTCTGTCTTTCTCTCTTTCTTTTGGACAAGATCTCACTCTGTCACCCAAGCTGGAGTGCAGTATAGATCATGGCTCACTGCAGCCTCAGACTCCTGAATTTATGTGATCCTCCCACCTCAGCCTCCCAAAGTGCTGGGATTACAGGCATGAGCCACCATGCCCAGCCTGTATTTTTTTGTTGGCATCTTTGTTACCTTCTTTCTTTGGTGTAGCATTTTTAATCTCCCTTCTGGATCTCATCTCAACTTCTGTTTATCTAGCGTCTTTCTTTTTTTTAATTTTATTATTATTATACTTTAAGTTTTAGGGTACATGTGCACAACGTGCAGGTTTGTTACATATGTATACATGTGCCATGTTGGTGTGCTGCACCCATTAACTCGTCATTTAGCATTAGGTATATCTCCTAATGCTATCCCTCCCCGCTCTCCCCACCCCACAACAGACCCCAGTGTGTGATGTTCCCCTTCCTGTGTCCATGTGTTCTCACTGTTCAATTCCCACCTATGAGTGAGAACATGCGGTGTTTGGTTTTTTGACCTTGTGATAGTTTGCTGAGAATGATGGTTTCCAGTTTCATCCATGTCCCTACAAAGGACATGAACTCATCATTTATTATGGCTGCATAGTATTCCATGGTGTATATGTGCCACATTTTCTTAATCCAGTCTATCATTGTTGGACATTTAAGTTGGTTCCAAGTCTTTGCTATTGTGAATAGTGCCACTATAAACATACATGTGCATGTGTCTTTATAGCAGCATGATTTATAATCCTTTGGGTATATACCCAGTAATGGGATGGCTTATCCAGCGTCTTTCATAAAGTCTCTCAATAACTCCAAACTGAACTGTCTTCTCTAGTCTCTGTACTTTCTTGTCTAGTCTCTGTGACTTAATATACAGTAGACACCTGTCATTAGCCATTCTACTTCTTCATTGCACTCTAACCTCCTTTTAGGAAGTAATATCCCCTCTATGTGTATGATCAGAGTTGGAGATCACATTGGGGGTGTCTGCCTTGCGAAGTTCCCATCTCTAAGTACAGTCAGGAGGTGGCCACACGACCTAACCTTAGCCCATTGAATGCTCCTGTCCCATGCAGTGAATATGAGCAAGTGAGGCAAGAACAATATGAATGGTTGACGGTCACATACAATGACGTCAACATAACAGCAGAATCAACATAACAGCAGGCTGTTCCCACCATGCTATGGTAGCTCTATTTCAGCTTCTCTGCTCTATCCATTATCCACCCGAGTTCATTTTTATTTTATTTTATTTTTTTCTTGAGACAGGGTCTCAGTCTGTTGCCCAGGCTGGAGTGCAGTGGCATGATCATGGCTTACTGTAGCCTCGACCTGCCAGGCTCAGGTGATCCTCCCACCTCAGCCTCCTGAGTAATGGGGACCACAGACACGCACCACCACGCCTGGCTAATTTCTGTACTTTTTTTGTAGAGACTGGGTTTTGTCATGTTGCCCAGGCTAGTCTCAGCTCCCTGGTACAGCTCCCTGGTATCCTCCATATTTGCAAGCCTGGCCCCCTACCTAGCCTGCAACATATTTTCAGAGTGCCTGTTATCTTTCAAATAACCTCAACTTTTGCTTAATTTAGTCAATGGACTTCTGTTGCTTGCAACTAATATTCCTTACTAATATGCTATATAAATCAGCACTTGCTTATGTCTTTTCCCTAATTTTTGTATTTAATTTTTATCTCATCAATAGAATTTTAAGTTACATACTTAATATTTAGTAAATACTGACAATCTTAAGGTAATAGAAAACATAAACTGAAGAGGGACTTAAAAATAAGTTATACTGAAATCAATTAATTCAGTTAATAAGAATATTTTCTTATTTGTCTTTATGCAGATAACCATATTTTGTTATTTCAAAGGAAAATGTTAGTAGAGAAATCTGTTACCCTGTTCTTTTTCATGATGATGAGCCTGGGATGCTTCCAAATATAGTTTGTTCTTGTAGCTAACACCTGACAACTAACTTGCTCTAGTCAGTAAAGCTGTGCCTTGAAGAAAAAGGAAAGAAAAAAGAAAAAAACAAGTTATAAATGAAGAAACAGACACTATACCTAAAATAATTTGCCACAGTTCACAGAGTTGGCAGTGGAATCATGACTAGAACAAGGATTACCCGTTCTGCTGTTTATTGCTCTTTCTACCAGAACAAGCTTCCTTCTTGTTCATTAAGTGATTTTTTGAAAACATTAAGACTAAACTATGAATCATATTCTCAGATAATATTCAAAGAGAATATAATATGCATTCAAACAAGGAGTCCTAAGAGCAGTTACAGAGCACTCTAACAAAACAATAGAACTGCATCCGTCATTTTAGGACGTCATCTTGCGCAGCTAATGGAACACAGGAAATAATTCCCAAGAATGTGCCAAAGAAAGTAATTTCCCATAAGAACCCAAGGAAATATACTGCTATAGTGATGACTGCAATAACTGACATAAAATTCATAAGCCTTCATTTATCATAAGCTTTATAGGGTTATTTCCATACTGAACAGAAATTTTTTCTGTTTCTTCCATGAGACAGCTGCAATACTTATGTTCCAAGACTAACTAAAAGGTATCATGTTGGATTCAGAGTGACTATTTGCATAAGTGTAGCAGGTAGAAGTTTAAGGGTTGTGCTGAGAGGTCAGTAATTCATATTAAAGAAGCCAGAAACATTGCTGCAAGAAAGCTAAGCACGTGTCCCTTACAGGCTGCACATTCTTTAACATGTTTTATGGAAGAATGGTACTCTAATGAGAGACAATGGGCTTACTGCTCCTGGCAGAGACTTTTATCTCTGGAGTTTAAAGACTTCTATCTCTTTAAGTCCAAGAGGAAAGGTTTCCTGTTCTGGATTTTAAATCAGAAATATCAAAGAGCAGAACTTTTAGCCACCATGCCTTCATTATTTTCTATACATTTTCTATGTGCTACCACATTAATTGTTTCTATACATTTTCTATATGCTAGCAAATTAATACCTTTCTCTTGGCATGATTAACATGAACTATTTATAACAACACTTGGGTCTATTATTTCAATCTTTTAAGCAAATAATATCATCCAGACCCTAGTTGTTAATTATAACTACTTAAGTATGTACACATGTTTGATGAACAAGAATTTAATCCTTAAGTATGGAGAGCTAAGTGAGATGAAAATTGGAATAGTATAAATGAATTTTTTGTAACTGTCTAGGTATAATAGTAGCAATGAGGGCATAAGGAAACAAATGTGAGATGTCTTAGTATTTTCTTGCCCCTGAGACCAGAATTATTTGGCATTGTATGAATGTATGATCCATTAAATAAAATTAAGTTAACAAATCCAGAGTCTTCTACAAGAATACTAGGGCCAAGAAAATGCTTAAAATTTTTTTTGAGGAAAGCAAAATAGCAATCAAAATATTCTACCACGGCACATAGGGTGTGGACCTTTGCCCATTTTGCTGGAGGTATCTTCTGTCATCGCCCGCCTCACCTCACAAACACTGGCTGTTTTTCTTAGCCGTAACCTTCGGGTGTTTTGCACTTTTTTTTTTCTTTTCTTTCTTTTTTTTTTTTTTTTTTTGGACAGAGTCTCTTTCTGTCGCCCAGGCTGGAGTGCAGTGGCATAATCTCGGCTCACTGCAACTTCTGCTTCCTGGGTTCATGCTATTCTCCTGCCTCAGTCTCCCGAGTAGCTGGGATTACAGGCACGTGCCACCACGCTAAGCTAATTTTTGTGTTTTTAGTAGAGGTGGGGTTTTGCCATGATGGCTAGACTGGTCTTGAACTCCTGACCTCAAGTGATAAGCCCGCCTCAGCCTCCCAAAGCGCTGGGATTACAGGCTTGAGCCACCCGGCCCGGCCTACGTGTTTCACGCTTTTGCTCCAGAGTTTGGAATGAGTGGCTGTTTCTTATCATGGAAGCTCTCAACCCAAACAGGCCCTCCTGACAACCAGAGCAAATGTAGCCTCCTACTACTCCCTTCTTCGTAGTTACTTTCTACTCATTATTCTGCTTCATAGCATTACCACCAAACAAAATCATCCCCCTTATTTGTAGTTTATTTATAGTTGGATCTCTATGGAGGAACAAACATGAAACAGTTTTATTTTTTTCCAATCACTGCCTTTAGCCTTGCACTGTGCAATTTTCCTTTCCTGCCTCTTAACAATAACTCAGGCTGCTCTCAAAGCTGTTGGGTCACTTTCTGTTATCAAAAATCCACTCAAGTTCATTTTTATTTTATTTTATTTTTTTCTTGAGACAGGGTCTCAGTCTGTTGCCCAGGCTGGAGTGCAGTGGCATGATCATGGCTTACTGTAGCCTCGACCTGCCAGGCTCAGGTGATCCTCCCACCTCAGCCTCCTGAGTAATGGGGACCACAGACACGCACCACCACGCCTGGCTAATTTCTGTACTTTTTTTTGTAGAGACTGGGTTTTGTCATGTTGCCCAGGCTAGTCGGAGACTCCTGGGCTCAACTGATCTGCCTGCCTTGGCCTCCCAAAGTGCTGGAATTACAGGCTAGTTCATCTTTAAAGCTGAACTAGTTTTATTCTCTTTCTCAGATGTTTCTTCCTAATATCCCTCATTACATCTCTTCCCCATTCCTTCCAATACTACAGCTTCTGGAAAATAGAGACAATTATGAAAATTAGCTGAGGTCTATGTACGTGGCTGCCTTTTGGTGGTTCTCTCTTGGTTATTGAGGCTTCTCTGGCTAAGACTACCCGGCCTTTGATATTTTCTTGCAGTAAGCCTCCAGCTGCTGGTCCTTCAGAAGACCCCGAGAGATTCCTGACACAGACAATCCCACTCCGGCTTGCTTCTTCTAATCCTTCAACAGTGGTTGCCCTGATGGTACCCACAAAGCACTTGATGTCAAGATCCTCACCAAGTGAGATACCAGGAAAGATCAGACTAATGCTTCTGTAATAAGCTGGTGACCAAACTGAAACTAGAATCAGCATGGTGGTGGTGATGGTGGCTTTTCCTTTCCCTTTCTTTCCTTCTCCTCTCTCCTCTTTAATTCTCATCAGTTCTCTCCTCCTTCTCCCCTTTCTTGTCCTCTCTCTCTCCCTCTCTTCCTCCCATCCCATAATCCCTTGTTCCTCTCTCTTTTCCTCTCTCCCCTCCTTTTTTCTTTCTTCCTCCTTCTTTTCTTCCTTTAAACATAGATCCAAAAAACTGTACCCCATATTCACATATAGGGTAAACAGAGGAGATTATATTAATTTAAGCTGAAATTTTGAAATGTTGTGATGCCAGAACAGCAGATTAACCAGTTTAGAATAGACCTTTGATATAAAACTGAGCTTCAAAAAATACTTTAAGCTGAGCAAACAGTAATATTGCTATAAAGAATCTGGCATTGTTTATATATTTAATATGAAAAGAATGCATGGTCACATAATTGTCTTTTCACCAAAACTTTTTAGAAGAGGATAACATTTCCTCAATCCCTTCTTCTACTTTCTTTTCAAACTCAGAATATTTTCCTACCAAATTCATGCTAGGAAAAGAGACAGATATGGAGCAATGTCTCCCTTGGTTCACTTTAGGATTTTCCTAAATTTCCTTCTGAAATTTTTCTATGGATCCATGAATAATTAATTCCTGATCAAGTGCATCAAAAAAAGATGGTATATTCTGAGTCAATTCTGAAAGGGAAAACAAGGAACTTAATCAAGGGCTCCAAGTCAGATCCAGCACACTATTTTCACTTAGATTGCGTGATTATTTGAGATGGCCTTAAAAGGGAGGGGCTAATAATAATGGATAATAATATTGGATGGCAATCCCTAAAAGAGACGATTTTTCTTTTTTCTCAGGTATAAACATTTTATTATATACTTTTTGACATTATAATTAAATATGTAATTATTATTATCATTTTTCTGAAGCTCATACATTTAAACATCTTCTCTAAATATAACCAATAATTCAGAAAATCATCTACCTACTTCAAAAGCTCAGGCTAACTTTACCACCTAAAAATGCACTAATAAAAAAAGGCACAAATACTTTCATTGCAGCACTATTCACAATAGCAAAGACATGGAAAAAATGCACTAATAATTTTTACCAGAGACTGATTTAAAATGTCACCTATTTCTTTCTCAGACCTTGTGTTTCTCTTTTCTTTAATAACCAAGCTTTTAAAGTTAGAACTATACTTAGTTTGCTCCTCACATCTTGTCATTCTAATCAATGCAATCTTACTTCCTCTGCCACTTTTTTTTTTGGTATAAGTTTATATGGTATAAATGCAATTTTGTTACATGCATAGATTGTGAGTGGTGAAGTCAGTGCTTTTGGGGTATCCATCACTGGAATAACGTATATTGTACCCATTGAATAATTTCTCTTCATCCACACCCTCCACCGCTATCATTCAATCCACTGCCACATTTTTCCGATACTACTCTCATGAATGTCATCATTGTCCTCCCGGTTAACAAATCCAATGGTTTGTTCTAGTTCTTATCTAACTTGACCTCTTTCAGGCATAAAATAATGCTGAATCCTCATCCTTTGTACATCTTATCCCCTTTTTCCCCTTACAATTTCACATTCCTGATTTTGCTATAAATTTCTCTGATTTTTTTTTTTTTTTTTTTTTTTTTTTTTGAGATGGAGTTTTGCTGTCTCACCCAGGCTGGAGTGCAGTGGTGCAGTCTAGGCTCACTTCAGCCTCTGCTGCCTGGGTTTAAGAGATTCTCCTGCCTCAGCCTTCCAAGTAGCTGAGACTACAGGCACATGCCACCACACCGAGCTAATTTTTGTATTTTTAGTAGAGATGGGGTTTCACCATGTTAGCCAGTCTGGTCCCTGACCTCAGGTGATCCGCCAACCTCGGCCTCCCAAAGTGCTGGGATTACAGGCGTGAGCCACCACATCTGGTCTAATTTCTCCAGTTTTTAAAATGAGTTATTAACTTCTGATATTCTCAGCCCCCTCCTCGTCTATATTCCCTTCTCTACTCCTCTCCTATGATTCCTTCTCCTTTTCTCTCATCTTTTTCTTATGTTATCCTCTTTATGGGAAGACTTATCTTTAGCCATACTTTTAACTTATGGCCATGATACCCAAATTTATCATTTTTAGCCCAAACCTAGGCTTCTCACCTGAATAACCAATTCTAGATAGCATCTAGATAGCATCTAGGAGACAACATCCACTTGCTGTTGCCCAAGACGAAAATATCTGAGAAAAATCTGAGTCATCTCTTTCTCTTCTTTGTTCTCCATTTTCAATGATCACCAAGTTCTATCAGTCCATGTCTTAAGTATGTTTCAAAATTTCTTCTTTCCATAGTCATGACCGTTGGCCTAGGTTGAGCAATGGGCTAGCTTTGAAACTCTCTCAGTGATCTTTTTGATGTTTATCTTATATAAACCTTCCTGAAAAACCCATCTATTACCCATGCCGCCTTCTAAGATGCAGATCTTATCAGATTACTTCCCTTCTCAACATTGCTCAGTAGCTTTCCATTAGCTACAGAATAAAATTTAAAATTCTTTTGTATGGCTTAGAAGACCCTTTAATTACCTGTCCATTTTTACCTCTTGTAATCCTTATCTTTACTACTCGTGACGCCTTATACTTCAGAAATTTTAATATTTTCTAGTTTCTGAATCTCAAGCATAAGATACAGTTTCACATTTGTTTCTGCCTTTGTTTGTGCATGTTGCATTGCCTCTTTTCTTCTAATTTGCCTGACAAACACCTACAAATCCTCCAAGTGTCCTCTCAAGATCTGTCTCCTCTGTGATGCCATCCTCAACTTCCTTAAGTAGGTTTTCTTTCCCTAAAATGCCATTACACCTACTCTATTATAGCAATTTTTCTCTTTATATTGGTTTTTCTGGCTCCCACTTCTTGAGAATTGCAACAATTTCTTTCATTTTTTATTGTTTTTATTTTTAATTTTTATGGGTACATGGTGCATATATTTATGGGGTACATGAGATATTTTGACGCAGGCATACAATGTGTGATAATTGCATCAAGGTAAATGGGGTATCCATCACCTTAAGCATTTATAATTTCTTTGTATTATGTGCATTTTAATTATACTCCTTTAGTTATTTTAAAATGTACAATAAATTATTGTTGACCATAATCACTCTGTTGTGCATACTAGCTCTTATTCATTCTATCTAACTCTACTTTTGTACCCATTAACCATCCCCAGGTCCCCACCATCACCACCACCCAACTACCCTTCCCAGCCTCTGGTAATCATCATTCTACTTTCTATCTCCATGAGTTCAGTTGTTTTAATCTTTAGCTCCCACAGATGGATGAGAACATAAGAAGTTTGTCTTTCTGTTCCTGGTTTATTTCACTTAACATGTCCTCCTGTTCCATTCATGTTATTCCAAATGACAGGATTTAATTATTTTTAATGGCTGAATATTACTCCATTGTGTATATGTACTACCTTTTCTTTATTCAGTCATCTTTTTTTTTATTTTTTTTATTTTTTTTGAGATGGAGTTTCGCTCTTGTTGCCCAGGCTGGAGTGCAATGGTGCGATCTTGGCTTACTGCAAAATCCGCCTCCCGGGTTCAAGTGATTCTCCTGCCTCAGCCTCCCAAGTAGCAGGGATTACAGGTGCCTGCCACCATGCCTGGTTAATTTTTCTTTTTGTATTTTTAGTAGAGACAGAGTTTCACCATGTTGGCCAGGCTGGTCTCAAACTCCTGACCTCAGGTTGTCCGCCTGCCTCAGCCTCCTAAATTGTTGGGGTTACAGGCATGAACCACCACGCCCGGCCTCATTCATCTCTTGATGGACACTTAGGTTGCTTCCAAATCTTGGCTATTGTGAATAGTATTGCAAAAAAACATGGGATATCTCAAAAAACATGGAGATAACTCTTCCGTATACTGATTTCCTTTCTTTTGGGGATATGCTAGCAGTGGGATTACTGGATCATATTATAGTTCAATTTTTAGTTTTTTTGAGGAACCTCCATACTGTTCTCCTTAGTGGCTATACTAATTTGCATTCCCACCAACAGTATACAGGGATTACCTTTTCTCCACATCCTTGCCAGCATTTGCTATTGTCTGTCTTTTTGGATAAAAGCCATTTTAACTGGGGTATGATGATATCTCATTGTAGTTTTGATTTGCATTTCTTTGATGATCAACGATGTTGAGCATCTTTTCATATACCTGTTTGCCATTTGTATATCTTCTTTTTTGTTTGTTTGTTTCTGAGACGGAGTCTCTCTCTGTCACCCAGGCTCGAGTGCAGTGGCGTGATCTCGGCTCACTGCAAGCTCCGCCTCCCAGGTTCGCGCCATTCTCCTGCCTCAGCCTCCCGAGTAGCTGGGACTACAGGCGCCCACCACCACGCCCAGCTAACTTTTTTTTGTATTTTTAGTAGAGTCAGGGTTTCGCCATGTTAGCCAGGATGGCCTCGATCTCCTGACCTGGTGATCCACCCACCTCCGCCCCCCAAAGTGCTGGGATTACAGGCGTGAGCCACCACACCTGGCCTGTCATTTGTATATCTTCTTTTGAGAAATATCTATTCAGTTTTTTGCCCGTTTTTAACTTAGTTTATTAGATGTTTTTCTATTGAGTTGTTTGAGCTCCTTATATATTCTGGTTACTAATTTCTTGCCAGATGGATAGTGTGCAAATATTCTGTCCCACAAAGTGGGTTGTCTCTTCACTTCATTGATTACTTTGCTGTGCAAGAGCTTTTTAGTGATCTCATTTGTCCATTGTTGCTTGAGTTGCCTGTGCTTTTGGGGAATTACTCAAGAAATCTTTGCCCAAACCAACTTCCCAGAGAGTTTCTCCAATGTTTTCCTTTAATAGTTTTATAGCATGAGGTCTTAGATTTAAGTCTTTAATCCATTTTGATTTGATGCTTGTATATGGTATAGTTTCATATGATATAGGGGTCTAGTTTCATTCTTCTGCATGTGGATATCCAGTTTTCTCAGCACAATTTATTGAAGAGACTGTCCTTTCCCCAATGTATGCTCTTGGCAACTTTGTCAAGAATGGGTTTGCTGTAGATGTAAGGAATTATTTCTGTGTTTGCTCTTCTGTGCCATTGGTCTGTGGGTCTGTTTTTAGCCAGTACACTGTTGTTTTGGTTACAATAGCTCAGTAGCATAATTTGAAGTCAGGTAATGTGATTCCTCCAATTTTGTTCTTTTTGCTCAAGATGGCTTTGGCTGTTCTGGGTTGTGGTTCCATATAAATTTTAGGATTATTTTTTCTATTTCTTTGAAAAATGCCATTGATATTTTGATAGAGATTGCATTGAATTTGTAGATTGCTTTGGATAGCATGGACATTATAACAATATTGATTCTTCCAATTCATGAATATGGAATATCTTTTCATTTTTTCATGTCCTCTTCAATTTCTTGCACCGATGTTTTATAGTTTTCGTTGGAGAGATCTTTCTCTTCTTCAGTTAATTTTATTCATAGGTATTTTATTTTATTTGTAGGTATTGTAAATGGTGTTAATCTCTTGATTTATTTATCAGATTGTTTGCTTTTGGCATATAAAAATGCTATTTTTTTTTGTTTGTTTTTTAGATAAAGTCTAGCTCTGTCACCCAGACTGGAGTGCAGTGGTGCAATCTCAGCTCACTGCAACCTCCACCTCCCAGCTTCAAGCGATTCTCCTTCCTCAGCCTCACCAGTAGCTGAGATTACAGGTGCGTGCCACCACACCTGGCTAATTTTTTGTATTTTTAGTAGAGACAGGGTTTCACCATGTTGACCAGGCTGGTCTTGAACTCCTGTCCTCAGGTGATCTGCCCACCTCGGCCTCCCAAAGTGCCAGGATTACAGGCACAAGCCACCGCGCCTGGCCCTTATTTTTGTATTTTTAGTAGAGACAGGGTTTCACCATGTTGGCCAGGCTGGTCTTGAACTTCTGACCTCAGGTGATCCACCCACCTTGGCCTCCCAAAGCACTGGGATTACAGGCATGAGCCACCACGCCTGGCCAACTACTGATTTTTGTATGTTGATTTTGTATCCTGCAACTTTACTGAATTTATCAGTTCTAATAGTTTTTTGTAAAGTCTTTTGATTTTTCCAAATATAAGATCATTATCATCTGCAAACAAGGATAATTTGACTTTTTCCATTTTATCTAGGACTTCAATACAATGTTGAATAAAAGGGAACTCTATTTCAATGTCATAGAACTTGAGTTAACAAAATGATTACTTTCTAAAATGTTTTATTCCGCTTCCAATTATTGTCCCCAACATTATAAGTCATTATCCTAGCTCCCATGAAGCAATCCACCAAACAAGTAGGCAATTGCCACACTTGTAATGAATGACCTCTGAATCCTATTTCCTAATCATTTATTACATCCAAGAAACCATGAATTTGTGTAGTTTTTTCCCCTAAGGTAGTTTTCAAATGTGTCTTACTGCTTTCCCATCATCAAGCCAGTTGAGGTTATTGTAGGGAAAGAATTGTGCTTCAATGTAAAAAAGTATGTATTATTTAGATCATAAACTTCCAGGCATCTGATTCTTGTCCTTCATTGTGCTTGAGCTATTTACAACTCTGTATATTGTAGATAACTGATAGCAATGTACAATAATTATTGTCTATGAAGTGTAAATTCTCTCTGGTGAAGAGTCAACTGGCTTGCCTCCTTTCCCACCTGTCCCCATGAAGCCAGTCTTACCTTCATTAGCACATTTATTTAAATATTCTTGATTTATAATTTTTAAAAATTCCTCCTTGACTTCGTTGTAACACCTCACCTGTTTCCTCTTGAGTTAAACAAATATTTAACATGTTTATTTTTATATTAATATAAAAGTTATGATTTTATCTTTCATGAAAAATTTATTTTAACATATTAAAAAGTGATTTGCTGTCACTTCTAAACATTCAAGATCATCAGTAATATGGCCCCTTTGGCCATCCTACTGCTCATGTAAACTCTTTGATACTAAAACAGCCTATATCAGGCCAAGAAACATGAAAAAATCCTCGACATCACTAATTATCAGAGAAATGCAAATGAAAACCACTGTGTGATACCACCTTACTCCTGCAAGAATGGTCATAATCAAACAATAAAAAATAATAGATGTGGGCATCTATTATTTATTATTATTATTTTTTTGAGATGGAGTCTCGCTCTGTTGCCAGGCTGGAGTGCAGTGGCACTATCTCGGCTCACTGCAACCTCCGCTGAAAAGGGAACACTTTTATACTGTTGATGGGAGTGTAAACTAGTACAACCACTATGGAAAACAGTGTGGAGATTCCTTAAAGAACTAAAAGTAAATCTACCCTTGGATCCAGCAATCCCACTTTTGGGTATCTATCGAAGGAAAAGAAGTCACTGTATGAAAAAGATTCTTGCACGTGCATGTTTATAGAAACACAATTCATAATTGCAAAAATATGAAGCCAGCCCAAATGCCCATTAATCAATAAGTAGATAAAGAAAATGTGGTATATGTATACCATGGAATACTACTTAGCCATGAAAAGGAACAAAATCATGGCATTTGTAGCAATCTGGATGAAATTCTAAGTGAAAAAAAACAGGAAAGGAAAACCAAACGTTGTATGTTCTCACTCATAAGTGAGAGCTAAGCTGTGAGGATGCAAAGGCATAAAAATGATTTAATGGACTTTGGGGACTCAGGGGAAAGAGTGGGAGGGAGGTGAGGGATAAAAGACTACACATTGCGTACAGTGTACATTACTTCGGTGTTGGGTGTACCAAAATCTCAGAAGTCATCACTAAAGGACTTATTCATGTAACTAAACACCACCTGTTCCCCAAAAGCCTATTTAAATAAATAAATAAATAAATAAATAAATAAGCCTAAATCATCATTCTCTAAGTATACCATGGGAGTTTTTGTTTCTTTTTTCTGGCTCTTAGCTAACTCTTGATGTCTTGTCTAACTCTTGTCCCCAGCCAGACCTGGGGACAAGTGGGTACATCGACGATTGATTTCATAGTCAAAAAAGCATCTCATGTATATCTAAGTCTGACTGTACATAGTCAACAAGTTGTTCTTCATTCATAAGAGTCATATTTGTGGGGTGGGCGTGGTGGCTCACACCTGTAATCCCAGCACTTTGGGAGGCTGAGGTGGATGGATCACCTGAGTTCAGGAGTTCAATACCAGCCTGGCCAATATGGTGAAAGCTGTCTCTACTAAAAAAAAAAAAAAAAAAAAAAAAAAAAAAAATATATATATATATACAAAAATTAGGTGTGCTGGCAGGTGCCTGTAATCCTAGCTACTCAGGAGGCTGAGGCAGGAAAATTGCTTGAACCCAGGAGGCGGAGGTTGCAGCAAGCTGAGATCAAGCCATTGCACTCCAGCCTGGGCAACAAGAGCGAAACTCTGTCTCAAAAAAAAAAAAAAGTAGTATTTGGGTAGTATTTGGGAATCTGGTTTTATGATGTGATCATGTAGTGACCTCTCTCAGGATATAAAGGGGATCAGTTTCTGTTGGGTGAGAGAGAATAAAAAAACCGGTTTGTTAGCCCTCTTTTTATTTACTTGTCTGTTTGACTATTTGTGAGCTCAACTCAATCAGGAAAACATTATATGCTCACTAAAAGTAAAATGTCCCTTTGAGATCTGCACTAGTGATTTTTATGGTTCTGTGTTTACTGTTGACTCATGATTGAGGCTGTAGAACTGAAACTTCAAGTTCTCAGTCTCAGTAAGTCTATCTGTAATTGTGAAAAACCTTTACCTTTCATTGCGTGAGTTTGACATTTTTCCACCTCATGTATGTAAATAAATTAAATTATAAAGTCTCTGAAATTTAAATAGCTTCTCTCTAATTGGTTCATAGAGAAAAATAAGCACTTCTATAACTGGCATTCACAAATTTCTCAGGAAATAAATTGTTCTTTTAAAACTAGGCTTAAAAATTATTATGGAAATCTCAAGATCAGAAGCAGGTTTGTATGAAAACATGAGTTCATATTATAAAGGTGAATCTTTTGAGTCATATATTTTATGAGAAAAAAATAAAATAAAGGTGAATCTTTTACAGATTAGGCTTGTTTGGTAACTTTTGATTTGAAAACAGCTATATGACTCTTCCCTAATTTTACTGATGGGGTTGAACTGGTTTTCTATTGCCACATAACAATATTGCCACAAATTTCTCAACCTTACACCAAAAACATTGATAAACTTACAGTTTCTGTTGATCAATCAAAGCTCAGTCTGCTACAGCAAGGGAGAATACCACCTTGAGAGATCCTAGTAATATCTCAAAATGGGAACGTAAGAGGAGGATATTTATAAGGCTTAGGGATCTAGGCTTCAGTTGTTTAAGTCAGGTTTATCAAGACAAGAAACTAACTGAACTGGAGGACAGTTCATGACTTACAGTTTAGGATTAGGAGACCCAGAAAGGCCAACTTCTTGACATAAGCCTTGATAAGTAATTTTTCTTTTTCTTTTCTTTTCTTTTTCTTTTTTTTTTTTTTTTGAGACAAAGTCTTGCTCTTTTGCCCAGGCTGGAGTACAGTAGTATGATCTCGGCTCACTGCACCCTCCACCTCCTGGATTCAAGAAGTAATTTTCCTGCCTCAGCCTCCCAAGTAGCTGAGATTCCAGGCACCTGCCACCACACCTGGCTAATTTTTTTTTTTTTTTTTTGAGTTGGAGCTTTGTTCTTGTGGCCCAGGGTAGAGTGCAATGGTGAGATTTTAGCTCACTGCAACCTCTGCCTCCTGAGTTCAAGCAATTCTCCTGCCTCAGCCTCCTGAGCAGCTGGGATTACAGGCACCTGCCACCACGCCTGGCGAGTTTTTTTGTTTGTTTGCTTTGTTTTGTTGTTTTTTGTTTTTAGTAGAGACAGGGTTTCACCATGTTGGCCAGGCTGGTCTCAAACTCCTGACCTCAGATGATCCACCCACCTCGGCCTCCTAAAGTGCTGGATCAGGTGTGAGCCAACATGCCCAGCCTTATTTTTGTATTTGTAGTAGAGGCAGGCTTTTGCCACGTTGGCCAGGCTGGTATCGAACTCCTGACCTCAAGTGATCCGCCCACCTCAGCCTCCCAAAGTGCTGGGATTGCAGGCATTAGCCACCATGCCCGGCCCGTAAGTAATTTTTTTAATAAGCTGCCCATTTGGCCAGATAAGCAATCTATTATCCCGATAGAAGAACTGCTTGGCCAGATGAACAAACTATATAGACAAGTTGCTTTTCAGGAATTTCCTGAAGCAAGTAGTAAAGTTATATATTGGTTTATAGCTTTATATTTCTGGGCAAGAATTTCTTAAACAATAAGTAAGTCAAATTAACGTGGGGGAGTCTCTGTTCTAAGTCCCCACATTAAGCTATGTGAATACAAATGGTCTAAATTCTTAAATTAGAATACGGTAAGTTGTAGTTTGTCAACATAACTAAGATCCTTATTTAACTTTAAAACCTGAGTCTATTCTTAGATCAAGTTATTTAATAGATAACTTGGACACCTAGATAATTTTTAAGGGAAATAGAATACTAAAATTTGGTCACCCTACATATTTTGAATATATACACTTTTTTTCTTATAGTGGATATATCTGTTGTTCATGTTAATGACTGTGTTTACCTTACTAATGATTGGGTTTACTCTGATTTAAAGGAGTGAAAAATGGATGTGGGTGACTCTAGGAGGTGATTTCATTAGTTTTGTTAATTTGCTAAACTGTGTATAATAGATACTTCTACATCCCCTTCTAGTTTTCTCTGTGAAATAGAAATCAGCTACTTTGACTGAAAGTTAGAATTTATACAAATAATCAAAGACTATACTAAAGCAATAGTAGCAGAAAATTGTGACTATGAATGCGAGGTAATGGAAATATTTTCTGTCTTAAACTAAAAGGTTTGGTTCTTCTAGAATGCGAAAAAGAATTGTGTAAAACAAATCTTGAATAGATGTAGAAAGTTGTAAGTAGAAAACAATTTATTTGCCTCACTGCAAATAATGAGTTGAAAAAGAAACAATAAAATATACTCAAATGTTGGCAACGTTCCCTCAATTTTGATGAGTTTATTTGTAAGATTGTTTTGTTTTTTAAATAGGACAGGCCAGGAGACGGAGGCTGCAGCCAACCATAAGCATGCCACTGCACTCCAGCCTGGGTGACAAAACAAGACCCTGTCTCAAAAAAATACAACAGAAATAGGGCAGGTTGTTCAGTTAGGCAGCACGTACACTAACATTGGAATGATACAAGAAGGTTAGCATGGCCTCTGCACAAGGATGACACACAAAATCATGATGTGTTCCATTAAAAAAAAATAGAGCAAGGAGCTAATAAATCCTTTCCTGCTAACTACTATATTAATGTAAAACTAGAATTTGGTTTTCTATGTACTAAAATAACAGTGTATCTCAAACTGTTTGGTCTGCTCTTAACAAAGGGTAGTAAAAGTTTATGCCTTTACATTCTATCTGGCCTGACAACATAGCAGAAATTCCATATCCCATCAAAACAGTTTTCTGTGTTTTATGGTCATATTTTCAAGCCCTTGATTTTTAAGCAGCAAAAACTTAAAGTTCTTCATTTGCTGAAAAGCTAAGACTCCTTTCTTTTGTGTCATCATATTCTTGTTATTTAAAATATTGTATTGTCATTTTGATCAACAGATATTGAATTTATTGTTTCTCAGGCACATCTGACCCTATGTTAATAGGTGATCTAAAGTACTCCAATAACTCTTGGTTTTGCTTTCCCACAATCACATCCTAGCTTCGGAAAAATAAAAATTAGAGGATTTTCTTCACACATAAAACTATCTTTGAAATTTCCCATAAGACCCCTAGAAAATCATGAAGCTTTTTTCTTTTGTTTTACAAAAGTAGAGATGTACCAAATAATTGTTTCCTTGACTTTTTTTCTTAGTTCAACACTATTGTAAGAATTGATCAAAATAGTAGTCAAATTAAAGGATACATTTTATTTTTTAAAAATTGTTTTATTATACTTTATGTTCTGAGGTACATGTGCAGAACGTGCAGTTTTGTTACGTAGGTATACACGTGCCATGGTGGTTTGCTGCACCCATCAACACATCACCTACATTAGGTATTTCTCCTAATGTTACCCCTCCCCTAGCTCCCCACCCCGCCGATGGGCCCCAGTGTGTGATGTTCCCCTCCCTATGTCCATGTGTTCTCATTGTTCAACTTCCACTCATGAGTGAGAACATGCAGTGTTTGGTTTTCTGTTCTTGTGATAGTTTGCTGAGAATGATGGTTTCCAGCTTCATCCATGTGCCTGCAAAGGACATGGACTCATCTAAAGGATAAATTTTATAAACAAAATATTACTCACACATTTATTTCTGAGACTGTACACATTACAGAATAAATTGGAAGGCCCTGGATATTTGTCTGTGCTCTCACTGTTCATAGTATTGTTTTACTTATAAGAAAAACACTGATCAAATTCTTATTAAAAAATTATGTATTGCGGCTGGGTGCAGTGGTTCACGACTGTAATCCCAGCACTTTGGAAGGCTGAGGCGGCCGGATCACCAGAAGTCAGGAATTTGAGACCGGCCTGGCCAACATGGTGAAACCCCTTCCCTACTAAAAATACAAAATTAGCCAGGCGTGGTGGTGCATGTCTGTAATCCCAGCTACTCGGGAGGCTGAGGCAGTAGAATCACTTGAACCCGGGAGGTGGAGGTTGCAGTGAGCCGAGATCATGCCATTGCACTCCAGCCTGGGCAAAAAGAGTGAAACTCGGTCTCACAAAAACAAAAATAATAATTATGTATTGCACCTCAACAGAGAATTTTACTGTCTTCAATTTTGACCTCATCATACAAAGCCCAGCCTGGAGTCACATTTGAGAATAAATTGAGATGGGAGAGTTCTTCGGACCCCTTCTCAGGTGACATGGGTGTGGCTCATTTACTCAGCCACCACACAAACCCCACGCAGGAGTGGGAGCATGCAGGCAAGCGGGTGCCGGGGCCTGGGTGAGTGTTTTTGGGCTCCAGCCCCATGGTAGCATCTAGGGATGTGTTACAATTAATGCTCTTTTAGCAGTTGCCATCCATGGACAGCTAAGTGTTAACCAGCTCAGTGGAGAGTTGTGGCAACAGCTTTTTATAACCTGCTCTCTTGGTACCTGGGGTCCTTGTCCCGGCATCCAGGAAGACAGGTCACACAGACTTGAATGATGGTGAATGCAGAGGTTTTACTGATTGATGGAGGTGGCTCTCAGTGGGATAGGGAGCTGGAAAGGGGATGGAGTGGGAAGACAATCTTCCCTTGAGTTTGGCCACCCCCAGCCAAACTCCTCTCTGACCGTCCAGCTGCCTCTTTGATATTCAGATGCTTCTTTTCTTCTCTCCTTCTCTGCTGTGCTGCTCTGCTCCTTTGCCAGAGGAGTTTGGGGTTTTTATGGGTACACAGGATGGGGGCATGGCAGGCCAGGGTGGTTTGGAAAAAGCAATGTTCGGGCAGGAAAACAGCAATAACTATTCTTATTTAGGGTGGCAGTTTCCAGGTGGAGCCTTTGCCAGGGAACCACCATCTTCTACTCAGTATTTCCCTGCCTCCTGTCCGTATCAAAATGACATTTAATCAAATATGGAAAGCTCATCATTAAGGAGCAAGATGTGAAAACAATGACCACAAATTTCACTTCCCACTCCCACTCGAAAAAAAAAAATCAACCTGGTTTATGGTTAAAGCCTCACAAGTGATGAGCAGTATCACTTACTAGTCAGCCAGGGACCTCAAGAGTATTTGGAGACTTCAAGTCGAAAGAAATTCACCAGAATCTATTAGAAATGACAGTGTAATCTTGGTGGATAGAATTTTGGGGCTTGGTTTTGTAGTCTTGGGATAGAAGAAAAAAATAACAGGCTTTTAAAGAATTGAATCCTATATTCCCTAATGAAATTACCTGACAGAATTTAATTATTTGGCCTCTGTAGTTGCTCAATACTGAATGTTCAAGGAAGTATATACAGTTAGTTAATACCTCTTGCTATGTGAACTATGTGAACTATCATGACAAAATATGAAACTAGCTTTATATGTGAGTGATCAAGAATAATCTCCAGAGGTTATTTATGATCACAAAAAGAGGCTGTTAAATAAACGTATTTAAAACTTGGAAATAAGGCAAAAAGGTAGCTTGGCAAAAAGGAGGAAACTTCAATGTCATAGTGTTTTTTTTTTTTTTAAACAGGCTTAACCAAGGATTATTTAATTATCTAAGGGAATGTATCTGAATTTGACTTGGCTATTTTCTGTTAATTAAATATCTGGTCTCTGACACATGTGTTTACTTTTAGATACAGCCAGGAGGAGAACAGATTTAACAGGGACTGCTTGTGCATTTACCAGTGACAATGAAGTTTGAAGGAGGAAAGAATTTTTTATTGAGCATCACCTAGATGTCAAGAACTATACATTACTCATTGAGTCACAGAAACAACTTTGAGTGATAAGTGTGATTATCTTCATTTTACAGAAGGTTGAAGTTCAACAGATAAAATGATTTGCCACATTATTTAGCTAGTAAATGGTAGAGCCAAATGTCAAATCCCAAATGTTCTTCTTCCAAAACCTACACTCTTTTAGCCATATTATTCTACCCCCGTAGAAAAACCTTTTTTCTAACGACCACAAAGTTATACCTGCCACTTCTCCAAACTGAAAATGATATCTAAATGTCAACAAAAAATATACTAGTTAGAAAATACAAAATTTCATGATGGGAAATGTAAGTATATGTTCTGTGTGCATAGAGTAAAAGATCTATGAGTCATCTGCTACAACCCACTAAGTGTTTAGTTGAAAATTGTTCTTTATCATCTAGCTAGATAGCAATTAGAAGTGTGAGAGACAAAGTATCCTTTAAGAAAAATTGGCTAAAGAATAAATCATTTAAAGTGCTTTACAGACATTACCTAATATATTTTCATACATCCCTGTGAGCTACACAGCCATACACAAAAAGCAATCCTAATTTGTTTACAGGCATTCAAAGGTGATGCAATGTAAAGTGGAAGGCCAAGATGCTGCTAACAGCATTACGCTTACCTTAGGCCTACGGCAGTGTTGGTCATTTCAGCTGAACACCACTAAGTTAATTAACCTCTATTTTTTTTCTTAACCTGCTTAGTGAAAATGTCAGTACCATTTGGGCCATGAGGCTTTGCAACCAGGCAGGTCATTTAGTTTTTTTCTCCACTTCCAACTGCCCCTCTTTGACCTGATCAATGATTAACACCCTTTATTTTAGAAACAATAGGAGATATTCATATTTATCATCCCAAAGGGACCCCTTCCATGCCTTTGAAAAACCAGTGAACTGAATTTTAGCTAATTTAAACTAACTATTCTACAGAAAGGAAGATTGGTCTTAGTTTTTTAGAAAGACCCAAGACAAAATTCAATTGTTACACTACCATTCCATCCCCACTCACTCAATTTTTTTAAAACTCATTGGTGAAAACTGTTGATTTCATTTGAAAAAAAATGCAACTTGGGAATGGAGTTGGAGATGTACTTTTCGTATTTCTGTCCCGGGAAAAAAAGTATTAAGAGTGGTGGGGTAGGGCAGAGTTTCATATATGAAAATTTAATATGTATTATATTTTCTGGGTTTTAACTTTTAAACATACTATATAATGTAAATAAGAATTAACTGAAGAAATATTCTGATAATCATTCCTAAGGTTGTTCCTACTTCAGTCTTTCCCGTTAGTAAGTAGTCTCTGAAGCCATTGTTTAAGCCAGAAAAAGAAATCACCTTTGATTCTCCCTCTCTCTAATCCATCACATGCAATCCATCAGCAAGTTATGTCAATTTTACTTCTAAAATCCAATCTGTCCACTTTTCCCTCATTTCCTCTGCTTCCACCTTTGCCCAAGCTATTAAAACAAATGAAGCCACCAAGGTAAGGAGTGAAGAGTTTTCTCAGAAGTACAAATATTTGGTAAACACTACAATTGGTAGCAGAAGGAAACAAGATAGAAGAGAAGCTAAAAAGGTGGGAAAAACAGAACATATTTGTTACAGGAAGAGAATTTAAACAGAAAGAACCAGTAGACCTAAGGTTGAATCTCAAGTGCTTCCAATCTGAAGACAAATAGGACATGTGTGAATTTGGGGTGAATTTGGGATGTGTTAATTATATTGAAGACTACTATACCATGTATAAAACTTTTACTTTATACAACTTCCAAATGATTATGGAGAAGATTTCGGAATCATTTTTTTCACTGTGAAAACTTCCAGAATGAAAAAACTACAAACAAAATAATTGACTAATACTTTAGGATTTCTTCATGTTTATTCTCTTGTATCAGTTTTTAAGTAACTGAATAAATACAAATTGGATATTTGGGTTTTATTTCTGTTTTATTTTGGTAGGGGATACTCAACTTGATTGAAGGATCTAAAGGCTGATGTTCAAATTCATTGTGCCAAAAATAAGTCTTTTTCAAGAAATCCAAATAGGAAAAGAGGGAGTTATCTCTCTTTTCTGATGATATGATTCTATACCTAGAAAACCCTAACGATTCTACCAAAAAACTCCTGAACCTGACAAATGACTTCATTAAAGTTTCAGGATACAAAATCAATGCACAAAAAATCAGTAGCATTTCTATATACCAATAACATTCAAACTGAGAACCAAATTAAGAACACAATTCCATTTGCAATAGCCACAAAAAGAATAAAATACCTAGGAATACATCTAACCAAGGAGGTGAAAGAACTCTACAATGAGAACTACAAAACATTGCTGAAAGAAATAATAGATAATACAAACAAATGGAAAAACATTTCATGCTCATGATCAGAAGAATGAATATTGCTAAAATGTCCATACTGCCCAAAGCAATCACTGGATTCAATGCAATTCTTATCAAATTACCAATGTCATTCTTCACAGAATTAGAAAAAACTATTCTAAAATTCATATGAAACCAAAAAAAAAAAAAAAAGCCTGAATAGCCAAAGCAATTCTAAGCAAAAAGAACAAAGCCAGAGGCATCTCATTACCCAACTTCAAGCTATACCACAAGGCCGTAATAACCAAAACAGCATGGTACTGGTACAAAACCAGACACCTAGGCAAATAAAACAGAATAGAGAAGCCAGAAATAAAGCTGCACATGTACAACCTACTGATCTTCGAAAAAGTCAATGAAAATAAACTATAGGGAAGGAACACCGTATTCAATAAATGTTGCTGGGGAAACTTGCTAACCATATGCAGAAGAATTAAACTCAAACCCTACTTCTCACCATACACAAAAATTAGCTCAAGATGGATTGAAGACTTAAATGTAAGTCCTCGGCCTATAGAAATCCTAGAAGAAAACCTAGAAAATACTCTTCTGGACATTGACCCAGGCAAATAATTTATGACTAAGTCCTTAAAAGCAAATGCAACAAAAACCAAAATTAAGTGGTACCTAATTAAAGAGCTTCTGCACAGCAAAAGAAAGTAGCAACAGAGTAAACAAGCAACCTACAGAATGGGAGAAAATATTTGCAAACTATGCATCTGACAAAGGACTAACATCAAGAATCTATAAGGAACTTAAACAAATAAACAAGAAAAAAAACCCACTAAAGAGTGGGCAAAGAACATAAATAGACACTTCTCAAAAGACATAAAAGCAGCCAACAAACCTATAAAACATGCTCGACATTACTAATTATCAGAGAAATGCAAATCAAAACCACAATGAGATATCAGCTCACACCAGTCAAAATGGCTACTACTAAAAAGTAAAAAAATAACAGATACTGGTGAGGTTGCAGAGAAAAGGGAACATGCAAGTACTGTTAGTGGGATTGTAAATTAGTCCAGCCCCTGTGGAAAGCAGTTTTGAGATTTCTCAAAGAACTAAAAATAGGATTATCATTCAACTCACCGATTCCATTACTGGGTATACACCCAAAGGAAAGTAAATCATTCTACCAAAAAGACACCTGCACTCACTTATTTATCACAGCACTATTCAAAGACATGGAATCAACATAGATGCCCATCAATGGTGGATGAATAATGAAAATGTGATACATATATACCATGAAATACTACACAGCCATGAGAAAGAACAAAATCATGTCCTTTGCAACAACATGGGTGCAACTAGAGGCCAATATGCTAAATGAAACAGAAAACCAAATACTGCATGTTCTCACTTATAAGTGGGAGCTAAACAGTGGGTATACATGGACATTATGATGGGAACAATAGACACTGGGGACTCCAAAAGCCAGGTGAAGGATGGAAAAACTACCCATTGGTTACTATGTTTACTATTTGGGTGATGAGTTCAATCAAAGCCCAAACCTCAGCATCATGCAATATGTCTACGTAACAAAACTGAACATATACCTGCTGAATTTAAAACATTTTTAAATAAAATAATAATTTTTTAATTAAAAATGTCTTTTTTAGTCTTCCAGAGGAAATTGTTCTCTCATCTAGGCAAACAAAAATTTAGCTTGGAAAATCTTTCTTTACCTCATAATCTTAAAAATGTTTACATGAAAAGTGTCTAAATTTCCTCCAATATTCTTCATTAAATTATCTTTAAACTGTATTTAAGAAATATCATGCCAGGTGCTGTGGCTCACTCGGGTAATCCCAGCACTTTGGGAGGCTGAGGCAGGAGGGTCGTTTGAGCCCAGGAGTTCAAGACCAGAGTGGGCAACATGATGAAACCCTGTCACTACAAAAAATACAAAAATTAGCTGGGCATGGTGTCCTGTGCCTGTGATCCCAGCTAGTGGGGATGCTGAGGTTGGCGGATCACTTGAGCCCAGGAGTTCGAGGCTGCAGTGAGCTGTGATCACATCACTGCATTCCAGCCTGCGCAACAGAGCAAGATTGTCTCAAAAAAAAAAAGAAATATTAATATTTACTAAATTCAAGGCAGTGATCCCCAACCTTTTTTGGCATCAGAAACCAATTTCGTGGAAGACAATTTTTCCATGGACCGGATGGGCAGGGCGGATGGTTTCTGGATGAAAATATTTCACCTCAGATCACCAGGTATTAGTTAGATTCTCATAAGAAACACGCAACCTAGATCTTTCCCATGCACAGTTCACAATAGGATTCGTGCTCCTATGAGAATCTGATGCCTCCACTGATATGACAGGAGGCGGAGCTCAGGTGGTAATGCTCCTTCACCAGCTGTTCACCTCCTGCTGTGCAGCCTCGTTCCTAACAGCTCACAGACTGGTACTGGTCCATGGCGCAGGGAGTGGGACACTCGTATTAAAAGATAATTTTTAAAAGAAAATATTATGACTTTCAAACAGATATAAAGTGAACATGTGTCGAAACTTTTATTTATTTAGCTCATTAATTATATTAGGGAACCAGTAAGATGTAACAACTGGTTTAAAGAAAAATTCAAAGAACCACACTTATATAGGTCAGCAGAAATTGTGAAATAAATTTGCTTAATAGATGTAAAATTTGAAATCTGTTCAATATCCAGAGGGCAATAGTCAACTGACTGTTACTACAAGTATTAGATAATATAGTATAATTATGTACTATAGTTATTTTATAGCAATGTAAAATAAAGACAAGATATACAAACCCCCAATAGAATCAGATAATCTGGACAATGCCTAATTTTCCACTGATGACAACCATATTTTTTTCTCAATTTCTAAGTTTTTCACATGTTTTCCCTACATATAACAAGGACTAAGTCCCTGTGCCCCAGTGTATAAGTCTGGAGGGAGGGGGATGAGGAAAAAGGAAAATAAATGCAATAACTGAATAGTTTATAAGGTTCAGTGGGATATATGCCAAAAGACAGAACTGATAATTTCCCAATTACACACAATATGCACAAGTAATGAAGATATCTGTTCTGATTGGATGGTGCCTGTGTTGAAGGCATACTTAAGCATATATAGAAACAAAATGCTATGAGAAATGAAAAAAGGAAAAGATTTATATTCCCATAAGGAGGTATGGCACAAGTTCATGGAAAAAGCAAAATGTAGCAGGTCTTTAAAAGAGAAAGATTTTAAATAAGTAGAATATAAGATGTGGGTGGGGGGGAAATATTTCAACTTAAGGGAATAGTAAGAGAAAAGCCACATATATAATATTCCTGGCTTGTAGTTTAGCATGGTTTGATGAAATCAGAGCTAAGAGAGAAAGGGAGATTTAGGGCAAATCACGGACAATCTTAAACATGTTGACAGGTTTGTTATTCATTTTGTTCCAATAAAGAACCACCAAAGATTTTGAGCAGGTGCATGACAAGATCAAATATAAGTCTTAGACAAAAAAATTCTAGCAGCAATTGGAAAAAAAGAGATTGAAAAGTGAGAAACCAGAGGCAAGGAATCCAGTAGAGCCTGTTGCAATGGTCAGGATACAGCCTGAACCAGAGCATTCTGGAGAGGAAAAGAAAAGCTTTGGGGAAGTCAGAGTGAATAGGATATGTTGATTCATTAGATAAGTCATTCCAATTTTTGTGACTGTGTGTTCACATTCGTTAAAAATTGGAGCATGCACTCCTCCAACTTTTGCATATTTAGTTATAAATTATATACTGCTCTACTAATGTACTAATATAATACATGTAATTTGAAACATTCATACATGCTCACAAACTTTTTTTTGCTCTCAAAGAGCAAAGATTTAATTCACGTTTTGGGTGCTTAGTTTCTAACTGTCTTGCTAATGTTGATGGCTTTGTATCAGTAGTAATTCTCAAAGTACTGTACATTTACAGCAAGGTCCATAAATTCTTATTTCAAACAGTTTTGGAAATTTTACTTTTTTCTGATATCTTACAGATTTAAGTGGCCATGATATATATCATACATATGATATATATATATACACATACATACATACTTTTTTTTAACCATATAATGTAACTAATAAAGAGTTGAGTTTTTTGGTTTTTGTTTTTTTTTCTGAGACAGGGTCTCACTCTGTCACCCAGGCTGAAGTGCAGTGGTGTGATCTTGGCTCACTGCAGCCTTGACCTCCTGTGCTCAGGTGATCCTGCTACCTCAGCCTTCTGAGTAGCTGGGACTACAGGCATGCACCACTACACCTGGCTAATTTTTATCTTTTTTGTAGAGACAGCATTTCACTATGTTGCCCAGGCTGTCTTGAACTCTTGAGCTCAAGCACTCTGCCCACCTTGGTCTCCCAAAATGCTGGGATTACAGGCATGAGCCAGCATGCCCAGCATAAAGGGTTTTTGTGTTTTTTTTTTTTTTTTTTTTTTTTTTTGAGATGGAGTCTCACTCTGTCACCCAGGCTGGAGTACAGTGGCATGATCTCAGCTCACTGCAACCTCTGCCTCCCAGGTTCAAGCGATTCTCATGACTGAGCCTCCCGAGTAGCCGGGACTACAGGTGCAGGCCACCATGGGTGACTAATTTTTGTATTTTTAGTACAGAAGGGGTTTCACCATGTTGGCCAGACTGGTCTTGAACTCCTGACCTCAAGTGATTCACCCATCTTGGCCTCCCAAAGAGCTGGGATTACAGGCTTGCACACCTGGCCAAAACCCTATACTTTAGATGAGTAGAAGGCAGAGTAGAAAGAAGATGAGTCAAAGATTAGCAGAAATGACTTGAAGGATAGTGTGCCAATGAACTAAAGGGAAAATTAAAAGGATAAACAAGGTTTAGAAGGAAAATAAAACTTGTTTTCCAACATATTGAGTCTGAGGTACTATGCGAGTCATTGAAGCTGTCCCTTAGGTATATGAAAATGAGAGGACCATGAGAAGCCAGGTTGCACGTGTGGATCAGGAGTGATAGTTGAGGCCAACTTACAATTTAGGTTTGCTAAGAAGAGAAGTAGGCAAATGAGAAACCTGAAAAGCGCTTTTAAAAAGGGGCTTTGAGAAAGGAAGAGGAATCTTCGGAGATGCATGAGAAAGGTAAGAGGAGAGATTTGAATAAAGCAAATATTTCAAGAAAGCTGCACAGCCAAGAAGGATAAAGCTAAGATAAATATGTTGAATTTGGTAATTTAGGATGTGGCCCTCATTTGAAAGAGTGGTTTAAGTAAGTAAAGTAGTAGGGACATAAGTTAGTTTTCATGTAAAGAACTGAAAAATAGTAAAAACAATTTTTTTAATGGGGAAAGTAACCACAAACTGTTCCTTCAGAAGTTTGGTGGTGAAAAAAGAGAGATTGTGTGGTGCATTAAGGAAGATAGGATGAATTTGGCAAACAATGAAGAGAGATAAATTAAAGGTAGAAATAAGGAAGGGGAACTTAGGAGACCAGATTCTCAATGAAATGATATTGGTATAATCATACACACAGGTGAGAGTGACAGTTTTGGGAAAGGGGAGGAGGAATTTTTCTTTGAATCAGAAGGGAAAAGATAAAGTGTAGCAGTTTGTTTTAGAGTAATACATAGGGCCGGCTTTGTGGCTCATGCCTGTAATCCCAGCACTTTGGGAGGCCGAGGCGTGTGGATCACCTAAGGTCAGGAGTTGGAGGCCAGCCTGGCCAGCACGGTAAAACCCCGTCTCTACTAAACATACAAAAATTAGCCAGGCGTGGTGGTGCACACCTGTAGTCCCAGCTACTCGGGAGACAGGCAGGAGAATCATTTGAACCTGGGAGGCAGAGGTTGCAGTGAGCCAAGATCACACCACTGCACTCTAGCTTGGGCGACAGAGTGAGACTCCATCTCAAAAAATAAAAATAAAAATAAAAATAATGCATAGGTTGAGAGAGTTTCTGTCAGATGGTTTCTGTCTCTCTCTTTTTAAAATATTATTAAGGTGTGAGGTAACATGCTGAGCATTAGTAAACATTCTGGATAGCTCAGGGGTCAGGAAATAAACGTGGAGCCACTAACTAGTTTTTAGCAGGAAATGACATTACGAGATTTTAATTTAAGAAAGTTCTGTCTGGTAAGAGGTATGGCAGAATGGCAGTAGGGTTGGATTTTCGAGTGACCTGAGAAAGACGAGTAAAAGGATAAGAAATGCAGGCAAGAAATCATCCCTTAACCAAGGTAACAGCAAGTGGATAGAGAGGGGGCAACACAGTTGAGAGTTATTTAGAAGAAAGCAAGGATGACTCAAACACTTGCTTGGACGGCTGGGTTAATGATGAAAACTTAGGCATAAAGGTTGAAAGTAGATAAAGGAGAAGGAAGGTGATGAGTTTGTTTAGGAAATGATATATATTAGGTACCTGAAGGATATCCTAGTAGGCAGATGGTTCTTACAGCATGAGGATAGATAAATATGGACTGACATATCAGGTGTGTGTGTGTGTGTGTGCGCGCGCGTGTGTATAAGGAAGGTGATCCCATGGCAGTGGTGGGACCACTAAATAATGACTAAGTGATCCTAAGGTCACTTAAAAACAGCAAGAAGTGGCTGAAAACAAAGTCTCCGCTCTGTTTTAGATGGATACCAAATAAGGAAGAATGGTCAACAATGTCAGGTGCCACAAAATGGTCCAGGAAGATAAGGAATATAAAGTGTCCCTTGGATTTAACAAGTAGTCATACCACACAGCCTTGGTGAAGAACAATGAAATGGCTGAAGAGAGAATGCTAATTGAGCCAGTGAAGGCAGAGAGTCAACACTGCTCTTTCTAGATGTTTGCCAGAGGAGGAAAGAGTTGATGAGGTAAACATGCAGGAACAGAGTCCATGGGTGTTTTTCATTAAAAAAAAATTTTTTTTGGAGGAAGGCAAACAGCAAGGTGATAGGGAGAATTGGAAGACACAGAAAAAGAATGATTTGCATGGGGATAACTGATGGAGGAATCAACACCCTCAAGAAAGGAGGATAAGAAAAGATTCAGAGCAGAGGTAGAGAGATTGGCCTTAAACTTGAGAGAAGAAAAAGGAGGTTCACAAGCTATTTACAGTATTTAAGAAAGCCTTCTGGAAATTGCAATTAATAGAATGTCAAGTTTCTTTACTTTTTGCAGGCATTAACTCAACCCTTTGGGTTAACACTGGTTATTGCATGCTGATCAGAAATTCTAATTTGCTGGTAATGACATCATAGAAATGTCTAGGATGTGATTGGCAGACCATATATTGTTGGCAGAGTTATCTGGTTTTTACAATACCCAATTCTTACAACATGTGATCAACCTCTGATCAGAATGACAGCCAAAATTAAAAGACTATTTGCAGGGAACAGTGCCTAAGTGTTTGTACACTTATTTAACTTTATTGCTTATTAGCATTACATCCATGACAGTGATGTATGTGATTTCATTTAAGTGACAAAATCTTTCAAGATATAAAGTCCATGGATGAAAACATAATAAAGAGTCCTTGGATGAAGAGAATGGGAATGAGTAGACAAGATCTCTACAGTCCCTTCATATCTAATATTCTATAATTTTAAGAGGGGCCTATAAGCACAAGTTCAGGAATGGCTAAATGGGAAAGTTGTAAAGAATACTTGACAACACCCCAACTAAACAATGACTCACTCTAAACAAGGCAAGGCAAGTAGAATGGCAAGCAATGTAAAT
The DNA here is from genome assembly GCF_000001405.40 of Homo sapiens. NCBI lineage: Eukaryota > Metazoa > Chordata > Mammalia > Primates > Hominidae > Homo > Homo sapiens. The sequence goes on from NC_000007.14 coordinate 94,508,628, forward strand.
AACCATTCCCATCTGGAAGGCAACAAGAAAAACCATTTAAAAAAGGTGGGGTGGGAGCGAGAGGAGAGTAGGGATAACAATGCTTTATTAAGGAAATGGAGTGCTGGCTTTATTGAGAATCACAAAACATTAACCAACGTTAGTAGCGGGGATGATTGTCATAAGCACATTAAGAAAAATTTTTTTTGGCTAGGCTTGGTGGCTCATGCCTGTAATCCCAGCACTTTGGGAGGCCGAGATGGGCAGATCATTTGAGGTCAGGAGTTCGAGACCAGCCTGACCAAAATGGTGAAACCCCCGTCTCTATTAAAATACAAAAATTAAACGGGTGTGGTGGCGGGCGCCTGCAATCTCTGCTACTCGGCAGGCTCAGGCAGGACAACCATTTGAACCCAGGAGGGGGAGGCTGCAGTGAGCGAAGATCACGCCACTGCACTAGAGCTTGGGCGACAGGGTGAGACTCCCTCTCAAAAAAAACGAATTTTTTTGGCACATCGACCTAGCCAAACTTGCGTAAATACAAGTGAGAGTCAGACTCTTTTCTCATCAACACCTACACTAAGTTAGGCTCCTTCTGTACCTTCCATTCGGAACTTTGGTGTACTTTCGCCCACCAGAACTGGGCAAACTGAGGACATTAAAAAAACGGTTTAAGAGAAACTGGCCAGAGCGGTGAGTTAAGTGTTAAGACTGGTTTCACTCCTGGGTTGGATGCCAGCAATCCATCGGCCAGCACCATCAACTGGATCCATCAATCCAATCTGGCCAGCACCCAGGGGCAGCCAGACTGACCAGCCAGGCCACGGATAGCCAGACAATAAACGACCTTAGGGTGTCCTTCGCATCCCGCTGGGCGGGTTCTGGCAGTAGAAGGCTGAGAAAGGGGAGTGTTGGGGAAGGAAGGAATGGGACGATGTGTACTTTTCTCCCGGAACTGTAGTTCTATTGCCCCAACCTGGGCTCAGGTAGCGGCCAGTAAACTAGGAGACAGCCCTAAGGCTCGCGTCCGGGCCAGGCGGGTACCCCTAGTACTCTCTCCCCACACCCCCATGGCTCTGCCGCAGCCGCCGCCGCCCGCCGGGGCGCGTGACCCGGTGACCCCGGAGCACTGGGCATCCGGACCCCCCTCGCAGGCGCAGCCGCTATTAAGGCAGGAGGCTAAAGAGGAGGAGGAAGGGGAGGAGACAGGCGTCCAGGGCGCCTGGGGAACCGGCACGGCGGAGCAGCGGCGGCGGGGCTGGGGGGAGGCCGCCGAGTCGGCCGCGGCCGAGGAGGGGCAGGCGGAGGTCGGGGGCGCCGCGGCCGCGGGGTCAGGTTCCCCGGCGGGAGGCGCAGGTGGCGGCCTGGGGAGCTGGCGGCCGCTCCTCGCCTGGCTGCAGCGGCGGCAGCCCCAGTGCTGCCCCTGTGCGGCGCCCCTTTCCCGCTCCGCCGCGCACTGTTGTCATGGAGGAACCAAGATGGCGGCTCTGGCCTACAACCTGGGCAAGCGGGAGATCAACCACTACTTCAGCGTGAGGAGCGCCAAGGTGCTGGCGCTGGTGGCCGTGCTGCTGCTCGCAGCGTGCCACCTCGCCTCCCGCCGCTACCGAGGTGAGCGGGCCCTCCCCTCTGCCCGGGCAGGCCGTGGGGGAGGCGGCGACGCGGCGGCTGGAGGCCGCCCCCATCGCCCAACACACGCCCACGCGGCCTTCCGCCGGCCCGGCCCGCGGGGGAGGCGGTTCCCCCAGGTGTCCCCAGCAGCGGCCGGCGCCCGAGGCCAACTGAGTGGACCCCAGTGGGGGCCACCAAAGGACAATGGCTGGTGGTTCTGGGCGCCCCGAGCCGCCCGCGCTGGGGTCGGGGGCGCCAACCCTGGACCTGGCCAAAAGTGCTGCTGAGGTCCGGCTCCTGAGCGGTCTGGGTTCGGGGAGACGCTCCAGATCAGGGGCTCGCGTGCAGGAAGTCGGACAGGCGGTCCTTGGGGGCAGCCCGGGGCGCATGAAGCCCAAGGCCGCCCTGCAAGGGGCACCGCTGCCAGCAGTGGGGTCGCAGGTCCTGCCTCTTAAGGGTCCGGCTCCTTAGCCTTTGTTTAATTTTGCCTCTGCCCTGTAACACCCAGTCTGGGCTGTTGGACAGCGGCAAGGGCCGCCCCCATTTTCCTTTGCCAAAAGGGCGACAGCTGGCAAAAGATGCCTGTGGCCAAATGGAAGAGGTGCCACCCAGCTTTTGTGATGCAGAAACGTTTAAAGGCTTCGGAGTGCACACTTTTTACAAAGTTAAGGCACCAGAGCAGATTTTTGGAAGGAAGTTGTGGGTTGACAGGCGTAAAGGTGGGCAGTTGAAAGCAAGTTGTAAGCACTTTGAAAGCAGGCCTTGGCCATGGGTTTTGAAATTGGTGTAAAGGGGAAAAGGAAATATGACCTGATTTGAGAATGAATTATCTTTCAGTAATCAAGGGATATTTACTTCTCCTTGCTGATTGATTGTTTTTTTTCCTTTGTAAAAATGTCACTGGGAGAGAGGCTGACAGGCAGAGGGAAATTAATAATGATAGGATCTTTTATTTTTGGCTCTTAATACTATCAAAGCCATTATCTGGCCAGCTCTTGGTGACTGTGAGATTAATCAGTCAAGATGTAATGTGTAATGGACAGGTGCAAATTAGCGCTGTGCCCGTTTAAATTTACACCTACTTTGGCAAAATATCCATAAACGGGTTGTTGGAGTCTGCGCTGTATTCTCATCCCAGGAGATCTTTCAATTTTGGTCAGTTTTGCTGCTTTATTTCTTCCAACTCTTGAGAATTAAAAATATTGTACTCTAGAGCCATACTGGGTGAACAGCTTTTAGTATACTAAATTGATTTTAAAAATTAGATTCTTTATAACCTTTTGGCCTCTCTCCAGCTCTCTCCAGATCACAGCCATACGACCTTGCAAGGCCTTGGTTTATCTACAATCATGTAAAACTAGCAATGTTGATGCATTGATTTGTGGTGGTTTTGAGGAAATATTTCTTTTAACTACTATTAATCATTTTATGCCAATTTGGTATAAAAGAACAGTAATTTAATTCAATTTATGTAATGGTAGTAGAGAGAAATTTTATAACTACAGTACTATTGTCCTAAGATAAATAAACATCTAGTCCCCTTCCTTTTATTTTTTTGTGCTTTTTATCTTTTGATAACCTTGGACTACTATTATTTTTAGATTATAGATTTCATCTTATCAAGATCTGTCATCAGCAGGGAGAATAGAATGTCAGATGGGGACTTATGAGTCAGTGTAGCAATCTGGGATTGTTTATAAAGCCTTCTCCAGAAGTAAGTCATCAGTTTCCATAGGTACTTCAGTGCCTTGAGTGTGAAGCATACACCTGGTGAGTGTACTTGCCCAGACTGAATGTCAAGAATTTGAGCTGAAGACTGGGAAAAATAAACATCTTACCAGGAATATCCTCATGCTTTGGCAGTATCAAACTGAGTCAGGTGCAATGCCCTTCACACAAAGATAATCATACATTTGACTCACATTATAACTCTTTAGGACAGAGGTGGCCAATCTTTTGGCTTCCGTGGGCCCCATTGGAAGAAGAAGAACTGTCTTTGGGCCACACATAATATTAACACTCATGATAGCTGATGAGCTTAAAAAAAATTGCAAAAAATCTCGTATCATTTAAAGAAGGTTTACGAATTTGGGCTGCATTCAAAGCCATCCTGGGCCTCCAGCAGCCCAGGCCATGGCTTGGAAAATCTTGCTTTAGAATAAGAAAGGATCTTACATTAGATGAAGGAGATTAGGCTGTGTATTTGGATTTTGAATGTGTGAGTATGAGTGTGCTGAGGCAAGGTAGAGTGAATGCAGTTTGGATATACATATTCAGTATCTCTTGCTTTACAAACTACCGAAAGTAAAGGAAAGAATTACCCACTACAGAAAGTAAAGCTTGGCGAATACTGTGTGCTAACGTTGAGCACTTATATGTCAGGGACTGTTCTACTAAAGGTTTTACATGTTTTAACTCATTTTGTCTTTATAACCATTCTATGAGGTAGATACAATTACCATATTTCACTCCTCTCCACTATTTTTAACATCTTTGTAATCAGGGTGAGTCTTTAAAACTTTGATTGCATGTCAAAGTTTAATTGGTAACATTTTTTTCTTACTGTGACATAAAATAATCATGTGTCTAATAATCAGTGGTCTTAGATTCAGTGAATTACAGTATTATTTCCATTTTAAATATGAAGCATGACAGATTAAATTGCCTAAGGATACACAGTGACTGAGCTAGGATTTAGATCCCAGTTAGTCTGTCTCATGCCTTATGTTACAGTCTGTCTTTCTCAGAACTTCTTAGACAGTGGGGAGTATAGAAGATAGAGGGAGAAAGCATTTTCCAGGGAAGCATGGGTTAAACAACTTAGAAACAGTAATTCAGGCCGGGCGCAGTGGCTCACGCCTATAATCCCAGCACTTTGGGAGGCTGAGGCGGGTGGATCACCTGAGGTCAGGAGTTCAAGACCAGCGTGGCCAACATGGTGAAACCTCTTCTTCTTCAATTAGCTGGGCGTGGTGGCGGGCACCTGAATCCCAGCTGCTCAGGAGGCTGAGGCAGGGAGAATCACTTGAACCCAGGAGGCAGAGGTTGCAGTGAGCCAAGATCGCATCCCAAAAAAAAAAAAAAAAAAAATCAACTTTATTGTACCAGCTAAGAGTTTTTCTATTTTTTTTTCCAGTCAGGAGGTAATTTTCTAAAAGTTGTTTGTGTAAAGCTTCAAAATCTGACCTGAGCCTACTTTTTGTTACCTATGTTTTTTCCTTATTTTCCCCAAATTCCAGGTTCACAATCTAAACGTGCTTTGCCCGTTTATACGTCTCACAGTTATTTGATTTTCTCTGCCTGCAGTGACTTCTCTCTTGAAAGAAAATATAGGTTTTTCCTTCAAGGCCTGGTTCAAATGTCACACCCACAGCAGTAGGAATTAGCAGTTCAGTTCTGCCAGCAACTTACACATACTTATTGTGTTGTATTGTAATAATTGGTATCTGCCTACCCACACAAACTGTTGAGCTTCCAAGAGTATCTTACTCATCTTTAAACCTTTAAATCATCAGAGCCTAACACACAATAGGAAATCCTTAAATAACTGTGGATAAATAGATTTCAAAGTCCTTATTTCCTTTTATGTTCTTTTGTGGCTTTAATTGAATTTCATGTTCTAATCTCAATTTTAGAAAGTAGGCATTTTAAAATTATTAATATTATTTTCACATAATAGAATGACATTTTGAAAATAATTACCATTTTAACTATATTTTTTCCAAATGTTATCAATTTCTAACATTATGAATCTCAAAATGTCCATTATTAGTTTGATTATAGGTGTCATTTCTGTGACAAATGGCCAATATCTGTAGCCTTAAGGATAGTTCCAATCTGGATAAATTTTAATTTTTTAAATTGATAAAGTTAACTTCAAATGCCTTAATTTTGTTGAAATCAAATTCTTTTTTTTTTCACTAAGCATATTAAATGCCAGTGCTAAATGATATTGGATGTTCTGGAGAAAAATAAGTTGAAAGCTTCAGAAATTAGAGCAAGAAAGCAGCAGCTCTGGGTCTCTTAGCCTTTTCTTTCTTTGACTGTTAGAAAGATCCTGATCTTTATGATACCTCTTGTAATGAGACACTCCTTGCTTGTCTAACGATAAATCTTAATGGTGATTTTCAGCACAGGCTAAAGTATAACTTGCTGTATCTTAGGCAAACAAAATATTCTATGGACTATACTGTAAACTTCATGATCTCGTATTTTAATGGTTGGTAGTAGGAAACAGTTTTAGCAGGATAATTCGGTCTAAATTTAGGTGCAGTGTGCCAGAGATATTCTCTTCAAAGGAAAACATAAGTTGGGGTTTATATGGGCCATCAGATGTTTCCTTTAGTTGTTACATTTTATTTTTCAGTTTGTTTTTGTTTGTTTGCTTTTAAGTATTTTTCTATCACAGAAAAATCATGCATAAAATTCTGAGATTGTAGATTGACAAACCAGAATGCTTATACTTAAGATAAGAGAATAAAGAGGAAGACAGCCATTCATCCAGATAATCTTGGTGTTGGAGATAGCTGAAGTAGATAGTCCTGTCTCTTAGTTTCTTTGTGTGTGTGTGTGTTTCTTGCTTGATTTATCTGAACGCCTGGCAACATTTATCTCACATTAGTTGTGTTAAAATAGCTATCAAAATTATACTAGACAATTGAAAATAACAACCGAAGTTTTGTTTTGTTTTGTTAGGTTTGTTTGTTTTGTTAGGTTTATATTTAGTGATTTTATTTTAAAAAATTTCTTTCCTGAGAAAAGAGAATTTGTTTTAGAGTATGAAATTTTATGGAGTTTTTTCTGGATCAGGTTAATTTATTTTAATCAGGTTATAATAGTAGTAGTAATTTATTATTACTACTATTTTTATAATTTTGCTGACATACAAAAAAGTCATTCTCTTCTTGCTTTTTCAGTTGTCTACTTAGCAATCCTTTATATTAGATTCTGGTAAAATAACTGGTACATTTCCTGTCTTTTGACTGGACCCTAGCTGATATGATACAGACACACATGGATTAATTTCAGATACAAGCCTTGTAAAAAACATCTTTGTGTTATGAAATATGTTAAGTCATCATCAACTAGCATTCATTAGCAAATTAAGAATTTCTTCCATGGAAAGCTCAGTATTCTCTAAAAACTGTGTTTGTAATGCCTTTGGGTTAGTGACAACTTCAAATCTCATTTTGCTATGGTTTTTTTTTTTTTTGATACGGGTTCATCAGATTAGAGCTATTGTTTTCCATCAACTCAACAACTGAGAAACAAGATGTGGGTAATAGTATTGACTGGAGGCAAAAAAAGTTATTTGCATTTTAGACACGTTTTCTGGGGAGAAACGACTGGTTATTTTGAGATACTGGTATGGTGTTTCCATCTCTATAAAAACATACCGGTAACCCATATAGATGCATAATCCCAGACACTGAAGTTTGATTAAGGTGTGTTTCTGTCTGGGCTTTTAGTTCAAAGACAAAAGACAAAAGGCAAATAACAACACCCCCCTCCCCCTAGAAAAGGGGAGGGGAGAAAGAAAACAGAAAAGAAAAAGAAGAAAACCTTAAAGGATTAACACCTAGTTATTTACAACTTACAGCTTTTTTAAAAAATAGATGTTTTGCTAACTTTTAACTTGGTTTAATAGATTTAAAGAGAAATGCTATAAATATGGAATTTTCACCTTAATTTTAAACATTTGCTAGGTTTTAATAAGATTTTACCATATGGCCATTATAAAAGAATGCTACAGAAATGCTATTTGTAGAAAAATAACTTGTGTGTTTCTGGAGTTCTTTTTTTACTCATCCTTAGTTATTTATGTAGCCTAATTTTGTTTTTTAGAACTAGAATTAGTTTTTAATAATTGGGGAAAATGAAGAACTAATTATTTGTAGTTTACTTAGAGACAGGTTATTAAAAAATCTTTGAAATACAAAAAAAAAAACTGCTCAAGCCGTGTATATAGTTAACACAAATTTAATAATTGATACCCTGCTTTCCTTAACCAGTTTCCCATCAATAAGATAATGCAACATTTTAACTTTTCCTTCCTGTTCTACTTTAGAATTTATGACATAGGAAACAACACCACTTTCAATATTTATGCATACTTGTCTTGTATTTGTATCACCTTTTGTCTGTATTTTGGCTAGATAATGAGTAACTAGATTGAGAAAAGAGATGTGTTCTTCTCCTTTAAATATCTTTGTGTCTTCCTTATCTCTACCCTGAAATGCTCAATATCCTTTTTGTTCTGCAGTATTCTTCCTCCCAGACTCCTTAGCCCGACTTTAACTAAATGTCAAGTATAACTTGCTATTGACTATTGATAAAGAACTGGAGATTAAATTAAATAATATTTTATTATATCCCCATAGTTAACCTAAACATCTAATTCTGCCCCCCCACACACCCCCAACCCACCCCATTCCTTTGACATATTTGAGCTTAAATGCCTCCAAACTCTCTTTTAACCCCTTTGGTCATGTATATTTAGCTAATGTACAGTAAAATATCCAAAAGTGTAGAGTGACTCTTTGTCTCAGTTTACCTGGGACTGAGGAGTTTCCTAGTTACGGAACTTTCTGTTTAAAACTAGGTCTCCAGGTATGCTGATGCACTGTGTATTATAGTAGTTGAATAGGAAGTCATTTCCAAAGTCGTGTCTTTTATCCCTTAAACTTTTTTTTTTTTTTTAAAATGAGGCAGAGTCTAGCTCTGTCACCCAGGCTGGAGTGCAGTGGCATGATCTTGGCTCACTGCAACCTCTGCCTCCTGGGTTAAAGCAATTCTCATGTCTTGGCCTCCCGAGTAGCTGGGACTACAGATGTGTGCCACCACATCCAGCCAATTTTTGTATTTTTAGTAGAGATGGTGTTTCACCATGTTGGCCAGGCTGGTCTCAAACACTCGACCTCGAGTGATCTGCCCACCTAGGCCTCCCAAAGTGCTGGGATTACAGGTGTGAGCCACCGTGCCTGGCCTCCCTGAAACTTTTCATTCTCAGCTATAAGTAGGGGAGATATTCAGATGTAAAGGCTAATTTAAGGTTGAGATAATGTCCCCGGAAAGAAAACCTGAAGCAGAAGGAACTGCCAGAGCAGGGAATGTATCATTAGGAGTTAGGTGAAGTATAAGCCATCAGTTTCTCTTGTCCTCTTGAATATTAATGTATTAATATTTACCATGTTTCTCATGAGTGGGAACTGTGAACCTGGGCGGTACAGTGAAACAGAGAAAACTCTACTTTTTTATTTCAAGGAACTTATATAGGGTCAAGATAGCCGATGTGTAAAATTTTAACTATTGTTTACAACACTGTTGTGTTTAACTGTTTTAGGCAATGATTCGTGTGAATACCTTCTCTCAAGTGGCAGATTTCTTGGAGAGAAAGTTTGGCAACCTCACAGTTGTATGATGCATAAATACAAAATCAGGTAACATTTCTTCATTTTGTTGTTTTCTTTTTCAGGATGGGTCTTAATATGTAGTGGAGAGGGGTTGGTGAAACAGTACTTTTCATCTCTATGTTGGGGTAGAGACTTGCTGACTGAGTGTAGGGCTGATTGCAAATGAAGATTTCCCTGCCCACTAAGGTTTTAGGGAAGGGCTTTGGCCAATCTGCTTTATCTCAGGTGTGTGATAACTAGGCCTAAGGCAATAATCCTTGAGCAAAAGACTCTTGCTCTGGCACCTGGATACCTATCTTATGGAGTTATTCTAAGGATTAAGAGATAATAGATATAAAGCACCTAATACAGTTAGAGTACATCTTAAACATGTAATGTATCGAGCTATTACAGAGAGTTAACTGATTACAGGAACGTGGAGTGGTAAGTTAAACAAACCTGGCCACCTGCTTATAAAGCAATATAATGGTATGTGTAACAATCTGGATCAACTTTCTTCAAAAACGGTGTGCTTTGAAATGCCAGGATGGCTGATTTTACTTATTTTAATTAATTTTTCTTTGTTGCTTTCAGTGAAGCAAAGAACTGCCTTGTAGATAAACATATTGCATTTATTGGAGATTCCAGAATTCGTCAATTGTTTTATTCTTTTGTAAAAATAATTAATCCCCAATTCAAAGAAGAAGGAAATAAGGTAAAACTTGTCTATTCCCTTCTGTAGAGTGTTTTAGAAGTTAACCAACTGAATAGTTACAGGAGGAGTGTGTCTCTCCAGATTGAGTAGGAGCTGAAAAAATTTTACTTTGATTTTCAGAAAGGTTGGGGAAAAAGAGGGATGAATTGCTTTAATGAGGAAGATGACAAAAAGAAGTGGTGGCTAAGACATTGGCAAGCTTTTTATTGTAATAACTTAAACTTTTAGTTTTCAGAAATAATAAATTCTTACCATGGAAAAACTTTTAAATTTCCTTAGAAAGAAGACAAAGAGAAAATATCACCCCTTATTCTCCTGTTAGTATTTTTCCATACTTCTTTTTGCTCATCTCTTTTTTTAAAAAAACATACTAGTAATCTTTTAATATGTGCAATTTTATATCTTGCTTTTTTCTTCACCACTTATTCACCATTATATAATCAACTTAAGTATCTTCTTAATGGCAACATATTATTGAGTGGATATAATGTAATTTTATATAATTTTCCACTTTTTAAAGCTTTTTATAGTTTTCTAATTTAATTTTGCAGTTAAAAAATACATTTTAAATTACTTCTTTGTGTGAAAACTTTGCTTTTTAAATTATTTCCTTAGGGTGGAATCTCTAAAATTCAAATATTAGGTTAAAGAACATAAACATTTAAAAATTATTAATTATGCTGCAAAATTATTTCAATTTATACTAATTAGCAATATATTTTGGGGCCTAATTTTCTGCAAACTTTCTGGCATTGGGTGATCATGCTGTAAATTAAAACAGCAGTGCAATAAGTTTCTGTTATTGATTTTGTTAGGAAATTTCTCGTTTAAAAATATAACTTTGAAAACTAACAAGGATTAATTTCTTTGTATATATTAATTAATTAGTTCATTATTTTTTGGTGAATTATCTCATCATATCTTCTGTTTATACCTTTTTAAGTGATCCCAGATTGTAATCATTGTCTTCAAATACCATGTGATTGGGAGAGGGGAATAGCAAAGGGGGGAAAGTCGAACACAAGAAAGTTTAGAATTGTGAGGGGAGTAGCTCATGAATTTATGAAAATCTGCCTATGTTAAAGAGTTGAAAACTTAAGAGCCTTCACAGCTAAGTAGTTATTAACATAGTGATGATGATACCAGGTCCTAAATCTTTAGCAACTATTCCATGTGAGAATGAGAATAATGGAAACAAATGATACAGTCAACTTTTCATTTTATTTGCTATCTGTATTTTCCATTTGCATTTATACATATGAAATTGTAGAGAAGACTCAGAACTATTTAACATGAAATTATTACAATTTAAAGTGAAAAATTTTAATAAACTTTTATTTTTAATAATTAAAAAAATTTTTTTAATAGAGACGAGGTCTCACTATTTCGCCCAAGCTGGTCTTAAACTTCTGAGCTCAAGCAATTCTTCCATCTTGGCCTCCCAAAGTGCTGGAATTACAGGCATGAGCCACTGTGCCCAGCCTTTAGTAAACTTTTAAAAAGTAGAGAGATTTCTGATTACTATGAAGGTTTTAATATTTCTTGGCTTAAAGTTGCATGACTTTCTAAAAATTCGAATAATGGATTTGACAATAGGTAGTTGAAAAAAGCTATAATGGTTTAGTCTGCAGCCAAAAGTAGATACAATATGGTACATTGTTTCTGAGCCCTAGTTGCAACACTTAGGTTTCCAGTTTTTATAGTCTAGGATGCTCAGTTATCCCAAGATTATCAAACGAGATATCAGACAAGATTAATTTATATGCATTTAAAAGGAAACAAAGATAGTGTGCCCCCGTCTTAAAGAGACAATTTTCAAGAAAATATTTAATTCAAGCTGCTAGTGGAGCATTTGCCAAATTATGTGTTACCTTGTCTCTGCACACCTTGAGGACAGAAATTACATATCATCATTATTATTTTTAAATATATTTCTTGTCCCTAGCATAATCTGGCATATTATAAAAGCTTACTACTTTTATTTAAAGCCTGGTATGGGTATGTCTGGGTAGAATAGGAATATTGAAGATAATTCTTTGTTTGAATTTGATTTCTTTTGTGTATTGAGTCAAATTTTTTTAAAAAGAGACTTTAGAGGTGAATTTTTTCAAATTATGCTTTGTGGGAGACTAGTTCTGTGAGAAGCTTTGGTCAAATAAATTTGGGCAGAGCTAGATATCGTATCTCCCTCTTAGATAGTTTTAATTTAGGCTGGGATATTAAAAACTTGAGAAGTCTTACAGTAAAGAAATCAATTTTGTGTTGCTTCCAGCCATAGGGCAGGTTAGATACTCTGGGGGCTCCTTCTATGTCAAACCAACTGGAGCCTAGGTTTAAAAAATACTGTTGATGGACTGGGTGTGGTGACTCACGCCTGTAATCCCAACACTTTGGGAGGCTGAGGCAGGCAGATCACGAGGTCAAGAGACGGAGACCATCCTGGCCAACATGGTGAAACCCCATCACTACTAAAAATACAAAAATAAGGCCGGGTGTGGTGGCTCGTGCCTGTAATCCGAGCACTTTGGGAGGCCGAGGTGGGCGGATCACCTGAGGTCAGGAGATCGAGACCATCCTGGCCAACACGGTGAAACCCCATCTCTACTAAAATGCAAAAAATTAGCTGATTGTGGTGGCATGTGCTTGTAATCCTAGCTACTCGGGAGGCTGAGTCAGGAGAATCACTTGAACCCAGGAGGTGGAGGTTGCAGTGAGCTGAGATCATGCCACTGCACTCCAGCCTGGCGACAGAGTGAGACTCTGTCTCAAAAAGAAAAAAAAAGAATAGTAGCATTAAAGTTCTGAAAGTAAGTTTCAACCTAGAATTGTATACCTGGGGTTAAAATTTCTGTGTTCTTGAGATGTATTATAGGACATTCTCAGATATTTAAAAATGATGAGGTTTTACTACAAAATAGACTTAACACTAAAGTAATTTCTGAAGGATAACCATCAGGAATGAGGGAAATGTTCAGAAAAAAATTATCTGAAATGTAAGAAGCAATGGTTTAAGAAAATAGTAAAAATGTATATAAATCTAAACAATGTTTGTATAAAATAATAATATCTTTTGCACTTAGTGAAAAGACAGAACTAAAGAACTGGCTAATAATAGCAGATATGTCAAGGGTAAATGATCACAATTAAAGTGTTCTAATGTACTCTATATTCTCTAAAATATTGTGTTTTTTTAAAACTTAAGTTAAAGATGCACAGTGAAACTTCAAGAATAAGGACCGAAAGAATTGAATTAGAATGTATAAATTTCAATCAGAAGAATAAAAAAATTAAGCAAAAACCAAACTCATCTAATGCCAAATATGTATTTTATACACATGCATGTACCATACATATACATATGATATACATACGCACACACAATTATATGTCTATGTAAAAAGCTGTTTTTGCATATATTATCCATATATGAAAAAGCTACATATATGTGGCAGGGATAGAAATTAAAAAGTGAGATGGTAAAGCCAGGCACGGTGGCTCATGCCTGTAATCCCAGCACTTTGGGAGGCCGAAGCGGGTGGATCACAAGGTCAGGAGATCGAGACCATCCTGGCTAACACGGTGAAACCCTGTCTCTACTAAAAACACAAAAAATTAGCTGGGCATGATGGTGGGCACCTGTAGTCCCAGCTATCGGGAGGCTGAGGCAGGAGAATGGCGTGAACACGGGAGGCGGAGCTTGCAGTGAGCCGAAATTGCGCCACTGCACTCCAGCCTGGGCGACAGAGTGAGACTCCATTTCAAAAAAGAAAAGAGTAAGATGGTAAAAACATTTATGGTCAAAATAAATGCAAGTAGCCTAAACTTGTGAGCTAAACACAGATTTTCAGATTGCTCTTGAAGAGAACTTTCTGCTGCTTAAAAAGACATATTTAAAATAAGAAGGACATGGAAAGGTTTTAATTAAAAATGAAAAAGGATTCACCAGGTAAATACTAAAGAAAGTTAAGTCATATTAGTATAAGATAAATAGATTTTAAGGCAAAAGCATTTTCAGGGATACAGAAAGTCACTTTCTAATGACGAAGAGTTCAGATAACTAAGATTTTAAACTTGTAGGCATCTAATAAATTAGCCTTAAAATTTATAAAGCAAAAATATAACTACAAGGAGAAATTGGCAAATTCTCACTTACAGTGGGAGAATTGCATACTGCTCTCAGTTAATGATAGGACAAGCAAATAAAACTAGTAAACATATAGTAGAGCATTAACATGCTTGATTCTGTAAGCTTATAGCTCAATAATTTAGAAAATACACTTTACAATCAGGGAAATGTTTGTTTGAAGCACGCGTGGAACTTTTTAATTATTTTTATTTATTTTTTTTTTTTGAGACGGAGTTCTCGCTCTGTTGCCCAGGCTGGAGTGCAGTGGTGTGATCTCAGCTCACTGCAAGCTCTACCTCCCGGGTTCACGCCATTCTCCCGCCTCAGCCTCCCCAGTAGCTGGGACTACAGGCGCCTGCCACCACGCCCAGCTAATTTTGTTTTTGTATTTTTAGTAGAGACAGGGTTTCACCGTGTTAGCCAGGATGGTCTCGATCTCCTGACCTCGTGATCCACCCACCTCGGCCTCCCAAAGTGCTGGGATTACAGGTGTGAGCCACTGCACCCGGCCAACTTTTTATTTTTAACGTGTATTACACCATTAAGCAAGTTCCAACAATATCAGAGAATTGGTGTCATTCTTGCTTTAAGGTAAGTTACTTTATATCAAACTTAACCTGATAAAAATTGTAGAAGCCTACAGAAAATGTTCTTAATGGTGAAATGTCAGACATACTTCCATTAAAATCAGGAAAAAGACAAAGGTGTTCATTACTGCTGCTTCTGTTCAACATTGTATTAGAGATTCTAGCCATAAAAGGTAATCTAAAGATGTAAGAATTGGGAAGAAATAAACTGAGGAGTTCATATGATACAATTCTCTACATAGAAAATCCCAAAAAATTTATAGAAAATTTACTAGAAGTAATAAAGATTTTAACAAGGTAGCTGATAATAAGATGTACATACAAAAATTGTGATACCTCAACAAAGCTGTTAAAAATTAACAAATATCTACATGCCAACAATGTAAAGTTCTAAAGGCTTTTAAAATATACCGTGTGCAATGGTAACGGCAACAGCTATATGTTACATAGGAATAAACAGCAAATGTGGAAGATCTGTATGCAGAAAAGCCATAAAAATTTATTGGAAGACAATTCCAAATGACATAATTAGATGGAATATAATATACTGTTTCCTTGGATGGGAAGACTCAGTATTGTAAAGATGTCAGTTATTCCCAAACCGATCTGTAGGTTCAGTGTAATTCCAACAAAATCCTAACAGAATTTGTTGTGCAACTTTACCGATGGATTCTAAATTTTTTATAGATGGGCAGCAGACCAAGAATAACCACAACAAATCTGAAGAACAAGGTGGAAAGGATTTGTTATACAATATCAAGATTTAATTTTACCTTGTAGTAATTAAAACAGTGTGGTATTGGTATAAACAAAGAAACCATTAGAATAGACTGTAGAGCTCTAAAATAGAAACATGCATATAAAATGACTTTAAAAGTAACAGAAATGCCATTGATGATCTCTAGGGAAAGGAAGGTCTGTTCAGTTAATTGTGCTAAAGCAATTAGCACATGGAAAAAGTTGAAATTGGATTCCTACCTCACACCATCTAGTAAAATCGTTTCTAGATGGATGAGTTTAAACTTAAATGTGAAAGTAAAAAATTTGAAACCTTTAGAAATAGAAATAAAATGTAGGAGAATATCTTCATTATCTCAAGGTAGGGAAACATCTCTTACATAAGGAACAAAAAGTGCTAACCATAAAATAAAAGATAAATTCACATACCTTAAGATAAAGAGTATCTATTCACCAAAAGATACCTTAAGATAAAGAGTATCTATTCACCAAAAGATACCTTAAAGAAAAAAGATAAGCCACAAATTGAGAAAAGATAATTTACAACATATATTCAAGAAATATCAGAAACTGCAAACTAATGAAAAAGATAACCCAGTAGACAAAAGGTGGGGGTCAGGGAGCATGGCCAGGCATTTTACTGAAGTGGAAGTGAGTTTTTTTTATACCTACTATAATGGCAGAAATTAAATCTGACAATGGCAAGAAATATGAAAACAGACCAGATGTATTAGGCTGTGTACCAGTAGATGTCTTATAACTGCTAGTGAGAGTGTAAATTGTTACAAATACTCCAGAAAATAATTTGCGTTATCATTTGATGGTGAACATTTGTATGGCCTATGGATCTATGGAACAATTAGGGAAATTCTTACTCTTTTGTTAAGAGACATATCCAAGAAGATAACCATTAGTGCTGTTTATAATCTAGATAGTAACGTATTTTATCAGTTGACCTGTACTCTACAAAAATAGTAAGTATGATACTTGATATTAATAAAAATAGTATTGATAAACTGACTGAGCTGTGCAAGTTTTTAAAGGCTAGGGAATGTTCTAGGTTATACGAGATTAAGAGATGTGACAACTAAATGTAACACTTGATTTTAATTGGATTGTAGATTAAAATATAAGAGCTATATAAAGGATATTCTTGAGAAATTGGAAAAAATTGGATATGGACTGTGTATTAAATGAGATAATATTTTATCAATGTCAAAATTCCTTATGTAAGAGAACGTTCGTGTGGGTATGTGCTTAAAGAGATATATGCTTAAGTATTTAAGAGTGAAATGTTATGACTTCTTTAATGAACTTTCACATAGTTCAGCAAAAGAGAAAAACTATAGAATATGTATGTGTAGAGAGGGAGAAAGGTAAAGCTGGTACAGGAAATGTTAATGGTTGGTAAAAGGTTTTGGGCGTTCGTTTAATTCTGTCAGCTTTGCTATAAGATTGAAAATTTTTAAAATTGAAAGTTGGAGAGAAAGCCAACAACATTAAACAATATATCATTTAAAGATGCATATTTATGTGACAAAAACTAAAGAAAGTTTTTAAAACAAAGTATAAACACACAATTTAGGAGAGTGGTTTACTTTGGGTGAAGCAGGGACTTAAGATAGGGAAAGGACCACATAGGTGGTTCAGTGTGTTGGCAGTGCTCTGATTTGTATCATGGATTCATGAGTGTTGATTTAGTTCTACTGTGCTTTGTGATTTTCATATATGTGACTTATTTGTATATATCAAACATTATATTAAAAAAGGAAAAAGAAGAAAGAGATCGAGTTGCATTAATTACTGTATGCAAAGTAAGACAAAGAAAGTTCATGACATTATTTTTCTGAGGACAAATTTTTAAAAGGTTGAGGATGTGGTAGAAGGAGGAAAACACCTGTGTGATTTTGTTTGACCCAGTATATCCCAGATTTATTTCACCAAAGAAACTTAAAGTTTCACTGAACTAATAGTCTCGAGACTCCTTTTGGAAAGTGATGTTTTAGAAGCACCAACAAGAATCTAAAAAGTTAACCTGTTGATAGAACAAATTTTGTTTCATGGAGATTACAGTATAAATACTATTTGTCTGTTTGAATTAATGAAAACATTTCAGCTTTGATTTTAGCAACAGAATTAGCTTCTTACTGACCACCTTTACCCCTTTCCCACCTACGATTTCTATTTCTGAAAGGAATGCCATTCTTTATGTAGAACATTTGGTTACAAGAAGTTGTAGTGTTCACATTTCAATTTTTTCTGCAAATGGGCTATTTATATACTGTTTTCAAAGTGAAACCTATAGCAACCTAGAGTCATGTTCATCCATTCCTGTCACTCAGGGCCTATACTAGTACACTGGTGAGAATGGACTAGATGTTGCTACAGCAACAAACTACTCTAACGTCTTAACAAAACAGAAGTTCTTGCTTAGCGTTGCATGTCCTAGGTGGGCTGGCAACAGGCTTTGCTCCACACAGTCATTCAGCAGTTCCTACTATTGGAATTTTTACTACCTTCTAGAGTACCTTGGAACATTGAGCTTCCTTAGTCTGTGCATCAGTTAAGTTAGAGACTAGAGAATTGCCTTGGGAAATTCAGCCTGGAAGTGGCGTATGTCACATATATCCACGTCGCATTAGCCAGAACTAGCCATGTGGCTCTGCCTAACTGAAAGGGCCTCAGAAAATGAAGGGAAGCAGTCCATTTCTGAGATGAATAGTAATACAAGTGCTGGGCACGGTGGCACATGCCTTGTAATCCCAGCACTTTGGGAGGCTGAGGTGAGTGGATCACTTGAGCCCAGGAGTTCGAGACCAGCTGGGCAACGTGACAAAACCCCGTCGCTACAAAAAATTTTTTTAAAAAATTAGCCAGGCATGGTGGCGTGCACCTGTGGTCCTAGCCACTTGGGAGGCTGAGGTGGGAGGATTGCTTGAGCCCGGGAGGCGGAGGTTGCAATGAACCGAGATTGCTCCTTGTACTACAGCCCAGGCAACAGAGTGAGACTCTGTCTCAGAATAACAAACAAAATCAAATCAAACAAAAAATAGTAATACTGGAACTAAATTGGAATCCTGGCAATCTTGGCAAAAAGGTAATTTATACAGACATGTTTATGTATCTCCTTGTTTGCTGTTGAAATTTTATTTTTGAACTATATCTTAGATGTTGAAAATCACATGTAGACAATTTAACTAGTGTCACTTTGTTGTGTTCTATGTCGGTTTTTTCCCTTTCGGGTTGAATGTATAGATAATTGAGATTTGGTGCATAAAAATATATCAACAAAAATATGCATAAAAATAAATCAAAGCAGCTAAATGGGGCATTTTTTATATAAATTTAATCTATACATTAATATTTCTCTGTCTCCTTTTATGGCAGCATGAAAACATTCCTTTTGAAGACAAGACTGCATCAGTTAAAGTGGTAAGTTCATGTAATAGTAAGCTAGATGTTACAATGTTGAAACTATATTCATTGGTTAATTGAACATACTAAGTATATTTCAATGTATTCTTGAGAGTAGATAAGAATATTAGGATAGTGGAATAAAAGTTTGTGTGAGTTATTTTATGTAATGGTCTCAAAATTTTATTTGGAAAGAATAATCTTGCACATGAATTTGAAACCAGTATGTGTTCCGGGTTAATGTCCATAAAAGAATATATGTGAATTTTCTGAATTCCCAATCAGTGAGAATTCAGTGAGGATCAAGACAAAAATGGCCTTGACCTAATGAAGATTGCAGGTCTTTATAGTTCTCTGCATGCAAATACAAGTGGGACAAGGATGGCAGAAAAGAAAAAGAGGGGCAATGGGAATGTGCAGAGCAAGGAATTGAAAGTCATTTTCCTCCATGCAGAAGTGATATTTTAACTGAGGCTTCAAAAATAAGTAAGAATTAGGCAGGCTCAGTGGAAGAGTTTTGTGAGCATTATGGACAGAAGGAATAGTATGTGCAAAGTCCTAGAGAAAAAGGAGAACATAGAGCATTCCAAGAGCCGACTGAGGACCAAAAGGGAGAGCAAGGGTACAAGTGGCAGGAGTAAAGGCAGAAGGGACAGGTGGAGATTCTGCACCTTGTTAACAACTTACAGGATTTTAGATTTTATTCTGAGGGCAGTAGAAAGTCTCTGAATACTTAAGCAGGGGCATAGCAAGATCAGATTTAAGTTTTTAAAAGATTGCTCTGGCTAAAATGTGGACAGTAGGTTAGAGGAAGACAAAAGTGGATTCAAGGAGAACTATTGTAAGACTCTTGCCAAATTAAGATAGGAATTGAAGATGTCTTGGACAAGGTAGTGTTTTACTTTTAAGTACTCTGTAAGAGAATGTTAATGTTTATTTTGAATGGTGGAATTAAGAGTTTCTTCAACTTTTTCTTTACTTCTAACATTTCTCTTTTAGGATTTTCTGTGGCATCCTGAAGTTAATGGTTCTATGAAACAGTGTATCAAAGTGTGGACTGAGGTCTGTATTTAAAAAACATAGGCTTTTTTTTTTTTTATTTTTATTCCCTTTACACAAGCATATTTTTATTCCCTTTACTCACTTGTCCCACTCTCCTATATTTTATACCTGCCTTCTTAATAGCAACTAAACTGTGCTGGACTGATTCTAGCACTTCATTGAGAAGAGAAGATGTAGATCCAATATCTCTGCTCCATTATCACCATTCTAACCATAAAGCAGATTATGTTTATCCCAGACTTTTCATATTTAAAGTCTTCTGTTACTGCTGTAGTTCAGCTGATTCAAACCCAGGTGATCTTCCCAGCACAGTGTATATTCTCTAGTGCATTTTTCTGTTTTCTCCTTCAAACTCATGTCCAGATACTTCAGGAAACTTTTGTTTATTTGTTTTTATAGCCTTTTTTTCCTTTTATTATTATATTTGTGACCCAGCAGGCAAGACTAATATGTTTTAGCTCATGATGTTTGGAGATAAATTAGATGTAAAGGTAAGCATGCTATTAACCTCAGAAAACTCCTAAGTTCTCACAAGTCCATTTTACAATCTCTGTAGTAGTTTCCATACAGTCTGTCAGTCCTTTAATTAAACCTGTATTCTTTCCCAGAGACATTTGTATTTGAGATGAATAAAACAATATTTAATTTTATTGACCTTGTTTTGTTCAATTAATTTCCCTGCAACAGTTTTTTGGTTTGGGATTTTTTTTTCTTCACAATAAATATTTAGTATTGCAACCACATCATACAATAAATAGGCTTTTGTAGGATCCTGTGGGAACCTAGCCACCATTTCTAACCTTGTTTCTTTGAGCAAATGTTTTCAAAAAACAAACATGTAGACAACTTCTAGAATTCAAATTTCTGGTAAATTGAGGTCTACAGTGTGTTTTGGTTTTGTTTATATGTTTTTAAATGTCCAGAAGTGTAGAATAATGTTCCATGTATATTTGAAATTATTTAAGCATATGTTTCATATTTGTGCTGGACTGAAAATGTATTTATTAAAGTAGTAGAAATTCACAATTAAACATTAATACACTACAATTTGTAAATCCTGCAAGATCACAGAAAACCTTTATAGGCTATTTACTAACCTGGAGATATATTACATAACCAAAATTTCAATTCTCATACATTTGTTAAAGCTAGTTTTTGGAGCCTTAGATTCTATTGTAAAACTCATTATGGTTGTTGAGAAAAAGAAATATTTAATTTATTTAGGTAGATGACCACATGGTCACTTGAGATTGATTAGTTGATGGTTTTCATTCACTCAGGAGTATATATGGATGTATGTATTTACTTTTTACTATTTCTGTAGTAAGCTGCTAGATCCTGAGGATTTGGAGACCCACATTTTTGTTGTTAATGTACTATTGCCAGCTTTGTGCTGAGTAATAGGAATGTGGCTGGGAATTAGCTCCAGTCTCAGCCCTCAAGGAATTTGCAATCTAGTAGATGGTGAATTACTGATGAATAACGACATAAGAAGGCAAAGGCTAACACAGAATTGAGCTCAAAGGATTATGAAAGTACCATGGATAGACACTTAGGATAGGAGGTGGTGAGAGTGTTGGTAGTTATCTGAGAAAATTTTATAGAGGAAATAATATTTGAGAACTGTGAGTTAGGAAGAAGATACACTTATTAACTAGAATAGCCTTATAGAAGCCTATAGGCATAAAAGCAAATTTGAATTGAGAGGACTCTAAGTAGATTGTTATTCCACAGATATTTCTATATTCTAGGCACTAAGCTAGACACTGTTGATACACTGGTTAACGTTATAGAGATCCTCCCCTCAAAGAGCTAGATGAATAACACATACAGATACTTAAGCAATGTGACAAGTGCTAAAATAGGAAATGTAAAGGGCACAGCAAACAGGATTACAGAGGATAAGCCCTAAGTGTATTTTTCTTAAGTTTTCAAAATTAGTTTTCAGATAAAGTGGTCTTGAAGGTGAGTGTGGGGAACGAGAAGTGGGGTTATTTCCTGCAAAGGAAACAGCTTGTGCAATGATGCTGAAGATGATGTATAGCCTATTCAGGGACTCTCCAGCAGTTTTAGTGGAGCTGACATACAAAATGCTTCTTTATGTGTGTTGGTTTTGGTTGTTCTTTTCACGTGCTTCGTTTTACAGGGAGTTGACAAGAGATGAGGAAGCAGGTACTACATTATGAATGATATCCTCAGCCATACTGGGGGAGTGGATTTATTTTATCTATTTTTTAACTACTTCTAAATACTTCAGGGTGTATTTTCTGAAAATAAGTACGTTGAATTGAATTGAGGGTAGTGGAGAACCATTGAAAGTTTTAAGCAGAATGATGTGATACAGTGGAGGAGTGGAAGGAAATTAGGCTAACTTGTAAAGAAACTGGCAGTTTAGATGTAATTCTGTAAGTGAATGGAAGTCATTAAGTCTGAGCTATTGAATGGATTTGGGTAGTCTTGGTATGGATTGAGGTAATATTTGAAGTTATTTGAATGGAAGAAATTGAATAGGCAGAGAATTTAGAGATTAAAGAGGAGAGAGGGCTTATGAGGAATGGAATTACCAAGGAGATTCTGAGAAGTGGCAGTAAAAGGAGTAGGAAGAAAACCAAGGGAGGAAGGACTGTAAAATCACATACAGGGGAGGTAAGGATTTTAAAAGATGGGTAGTCACCAGTGTCCCTTTCAAAACTTGCTAAGGTGGAATGAAGCTACAGCATTTGGCAATCCAGAGTTCACTAATGGGCTCTCAGGACAGTTTTAATGGATAGTGAAGCCCAAATTCAAAACTTAAGTTGAGGCATAAATGAGAGATAAAGAAATTGGCATAGTGAGGGCAGAATACTCTTTCAAGTAATCTGTTGGTTACAGGTGTAAGACAGGGTTCAAGGAAAACTTTTTGAGGATAAGGATGATTTAACACTTTTAGGTTGAGGGAAGGAAAGAGAGTGGAGGAGGAGGACAAGATTGATACTATGAGAGTTGGAGGACATAATTCATGGATCATAGCTCCAGAAGTGAAAAGGGAGGAAATGTAGACAGAGGAAGGCATTAGCCATTGAGAAGAATAGGGACATATTTTCTTTACTCTCTTGTCAGAGGAAGATAGCTGGGGGAGTATAGACAAGTTGTAAGAATGAAGGAAGGAAGGCAAGAGCAGACTTGTCGGATGAATTTTATTTTCTCTATGAAGTTTGAGAATTAAACTTTATGCTGAGAAGGAGGGCAGGAGAGACTGTATATGGAATGTAAGGTTTGGGATAACCAATGTAAGTTTTGGGAATGAGAAAGCCACCTAGGGATGAGGAAAAAATATTTAAAATTTTGTATCCACTGAAAATTCTTCAACAGTGTAAAATGAAGCATGCTCAACTGGAAATGGTCATATATCTAAAAGAAAATGGATTTATTTTGTTATTTTTCTCTATATTTGTAGTATTTTACAGTAAGCATGTATTACCTTTATAGTGAAAAAGTGTCATTTTTTTACATTGGTCAATTTTTTGTTATTAAATTTCATGCTTGTTTTTAATTGTTTCTTGTGTGTATGATTGCAATATCAGGTATTTGATGTGGTGATGTGTGTGATTCAGAAGTCAGAAGACTTAAGTTCCGACTTACCTGGCAGGCCTCAGCAATATCCTATTAGCCATTCTGAGTCTGTATCTTTGTTTTATAAGAGATGTATAATATCATCTTGCCTGCCCCACAGGGTGGCAGGCAGGAATCTATATTACAATGAGATAATTTAAGAGAAAGTGTTTAGTAAGTTACTAAGTACTATATACTTGTTATATATAACATATAGTTAGCTGCAAATATAATTGTACTGTAATATACTATTGCTATATATTATAAATAGTATACAGTAGTCCCCATTTATCCATGGTTAATATGTTCCAAGACCCTAGCATGTGCCTGAAACCATAGATGGTACCAAACCCTATGTGTACAATGTTTTTTCCTATACATACAAAAGTATGATAAAGTTTAATATATAAATTAGGCACACTAAGAGATTAACAGCAATAACTAATAATAAAATAGTACAATTATAACAGTATCTCATCATCACTATTTTTGAGCTTTGGGGTCATTATTGAGTAAAATAGGGGTTACTTTAACACAAGGATTGTAATGCTGTGACAGTTGGTCTGATAACTGAGACGGCCACTAAGTGACTAATGGGCAGGTAGCATATACAGCGTGATACCCTGGACAAAGGGAGGATTCACATCCCAGGAGAGACAGTGCCGGATAGCATGAGACTTTATCATGTTACTCAGAATGGCACATAATTTAAAACTTAGGAATTATTTATTTCTGGAAGTTTCTATTATTTTCAGACCTCAATTGACTATGGGTAACTGAAACAGTGGAAACTGAAACCATATATAATGGGGGGAAATACTCTAATTTGCATTTGGTGAGGATTTTTAGGGATCTCTACTTATATTTTTCCACATGTGGTCTTTAATAATCATCAGTTTATTTTGTTAAATATGCATTGGATTTCACTTTCCCAGAAGATTGTTTTGGCACTGACCTTGTATTTTATTTAACACTTACACTGTGTACCCTGTAGGCTTCCATGATTACCTTTTAATTGACTGACATAATACACTAGAGCTTTACTCTAAGCATTTTACTCAGAGTTCAGAATATTAGGTCGTGTTAGATTTCAGTGGTGCTTTTTTTTAAGAACACCAAAGAATTAACCATCCAAATTTCTGTCATCCTGTGTGTATATGTAGCGTTACAAGATTTTAGGCATTGGATATCCTAAATCTGTCTTGTTATAACAATAATAAGCAATAATAATAAGGAATTCTAAAAACTTAGAATGAATTTAGAAGGAAGAACTTACATTTTAAGGAAAAAAATTAAATGATGTTACTTGTAGTAATTCCCTGAACTGATTATAATACTATGATAAAGATTTGTCTTCCTTTAGGATTCCATTGCAAAGCCACATGTGATTGTAGCAGGAGCTGCCACAGTAAGTTATCATCTGTATTCTTACTTAATGATTTTGTTTCACGTTTAAGAACATGCTAAGAAAAAGTTAATTTGTGTTCAGAATTCTTGATTGTACCTAAATTTTTAATTCCTACTTCTATTATGATTAGATTGATGAATTTTAATACAAATACTGGAATTAACTTAGGAAACTTACTGTTAAATATGAGTGTTTTTTATATCTAAAATTGTATTCTTCTTGAATGTTATACATTGAAAGTATAGTTTTATAACAGCTTTTTCTAATTGCTTTCATATATTTCATGAACTAATTTGACTGAATTTTATTCTAATATTAAATAAAATGAGAAATATCTAAAATAATAACACTTGTTACAGTAGGTAAATTATATACTTTAATTGTTTGTGATAAATACTAAATTAATGCATAATTTGTACTTCTTTTTAGTGGTCCATCAAGATTCACAATGGTAGCAGTGAAGCGCTTTCTCAATATAAAATGAACATCACCTCCATAGCACCACTTTTAGAAAAATTGGCAAAGACTAGTGATGTTTATTGGGTCTTACAAGGTAAGGAATGAGTAATGAAAAAATGTCACTTTGTGTATATTTTGAAGCATGGGTTTTTATTATCTCCTGTTTCAAGAAGCAGAATTACTGCTTTATGAGAATTAATTTTGAAACAAGATTTGCAAGATTAGAGTACACTTGAGTTATTTGCTCTCCTTTTTCAAATGTAAGGAACAAATTAATAAATATAGGTGAAAAATAAAAAATATCCTCCAAGAAACCTCATGGCTATAGAATGTATGACAAAAAGATAAGTCCTAAACGCAAATGACATGTGGTATCCCTGATTTTTTTTTCTTACAAAACATATTTATTGTGATTGGGAAATATATACAAAAAATATTATCTGTTTCATAATTTTTTTTTTTTTTTTTTTTTTTTTGAGACAGGGTCTTGCTCTCTTTCCCAGGTTGGAGTGCAGTAGCACGATCTTGGCTCACTGCAACCTCCGCCTCCCAGGCTCAAGCGATCCTTCCGCCTCAGCCTCCTGAGTAGCTGGGACTACAGGTGTGCACCACCACACCCAGCTAATTTTTTGTATGTTTGATAGAGACAGGGTTTCGCTGTGTTTCATAACATTAAAGTCATTAGAAGTAAATATACTTCACCCTGCTTCATAATATTAATAAAGTCATTAGAAGTAAATATACTTTTTTAGCAAGCAATGGGTTTCTGAAAAAATAAAAATAATTAAATAAAATACACTTTTGAATTGACAGAATATGTTTAAATTGACACCATCTGGTTTATGCTTGGTAATGAAATTCTTAGTAGACATTAGGATAACTCATTTTAGGAATTTATTGAATGTCCATTATTTAATGCCTAGCACAATATGAAATGCCATGGATATTTTAGCAATTCATGTTTTGTGTCAGGAATTCTTATTATTTCCAAGTTGAATGTCAAGATGAAAGGAATAAGAAAAAGGGTAGTGATGATCTGTTCCATAATCTCTGTTTTATTCACAGACTCATTGTTAACCTTTCTCATACCAAAATGAGGAAAAATTAGTTATTTATAGTAAGTGATAAGAGAATAGGCAGACCTTGAGCCTCAATAATATTACCTCCTGATGATATGAAGAAAGTTTACAGAATTAAGCAGTGACAAGAGAAAAAAAGATGGGCAGCTATTTTTAATTAAGCAGTCTTCTATAACTCATTTTAGATTTGTTGTTACCTGTTATAACTCAGCATCCAAAAATGTTAAACTCTTAAGACATGCTGGAGCATAAAAATATTTCCGCAAATCTGTGTACATAAAGATGGGACAAAAGTTCTTTAAATTTGAAAGGGATATTGCTTGACTCAAAACTTGAATATAAGATGGGAAATTTATTGCAAACTTTGGGAAGCTTTGCGTAAAAATGAACTATTAGGTACCTGGTACCATCTATACTTTTAAAAATAACATATGAAATGTGGAACAGCTAACTTGCATGATCACAATTTTTACCAATAGGGATTTTTAAAATGTGTTTTTAAAAATGTGTCTCACGTGCAGATCCTGTTTATGAAGATCTATTAAGTGAAAATAGGAAGATGATCACTAATGAGAAGATAGATGCTTACAATGAAGCTGCAGTCAGTATTTTGAATAGTAGCACCAGAAATTCTAAATCAAATGTTAAGATGTTCAGTGTTTCCAAATTAATTGCTCAAGAAACCATCATGGAATCTTTGGATGG
The DNA here is from genome assembly GCF_000001405.40 of Homo sapiens. Lineage (NCBI taxonomy): Eukaryota > Metazoa > Chordata > Mammalia > Primates > Hominidae > Homo > Homo sapiens. The sequence goes on from NC_000007.14 coordinate 94,535,493, forward strand.
CTTACATCTTCCTGAATCGAGCAGAGAAACTGTGAGAAATTTTTACATATGTCAGTAGATGGAGACTATAATATCAATTGCTTTAAGCCATAAGTCATTATAACATGGTTATAAATAATTTGTTTTATTGCAGTCTTAGTAACTTGTAGTTATTGTGTATAAAGATACATCTAGAAATTATTTTGCTTTCTATCATCTAGTTGAATATATACGTAAGAGTTTTGGTATACTCTAAGAGAGAAAGAAGTTAGGGAAGAGGGGAAATTAAACTTCATTTACTGAGTGCTAATCACTGTTAATATACATTGTCTCCTCAGAAGCATATATGTTCTCAGCACACTCACATGTAAAAACTACTGCTTCTATGTTCCCCTTACCTTAAACCTTAAGCTTTCAAGATTAAGCTTCAATGAAGAATACACTTCTTAATGCTGAAAATATTTTTTATTATTTCCCTATAGCTCTTCTGGCCAGGCGCAGTGGCTCATGCCTGTAATCCCAGCACTTTGGGAGGCCGAGGCAGGTAGATCACTTGAGGTCAGGAGTTCGAGACTAGCCTGGCTAACATGGGGAAACCCCATCTCTACTAAAAATACAAAAATTAGCTGGGTGTGGTGGCACACGCTTGTAATCCCAGCTACTCGGGAGGCTGAGGCAGAAGAATTGCTTGAACCCAGGAGGCAGAGGTTGCAGTGAGCCAAGATCCCGCCACTGCACTCCAGCCTGGGTGACAGAGAGAGACTCCATCTCAAGAAAAGAAAAAAAGAATTCTTATAGCTCTTCTATCCTAAGCATTATTCAAGATACAGAGTACATACTGAACAAATCCAAGTTGACCTATGGAAAGGGATTTAGGTTAAGTATGAAGGAGAACTATGTAACTACAAATTTTCACAAACAGTGGAACAAATTATTTTAAGTTTTTTTCTCTTATTAAGCAGTGGTTCTTAACCTTTGTGAGAGTTGCATAAGCCCTTTGAGTATCTGATACAAGACAATGGTTTTGTTCTTCTCCTGCAGAATAATGTGTATGTTTGCATGTACATATGGTTCTCCATATACATAAAAGGGCTTGATGAACCCCCTAAAAACTGGTTAAGAACCTTGCAGTGGAATTTGCAGGCTAGTATCTGCAAGAGTGCCAGGCATAAAACCACCTGCAGTCTCAGGGCTAAAAGGATGAGATTTTCTCAAATCTTGATTATTTTGAATGTTTAGGCTTAAATAACTAATCATCTAGAGTTCCACAGATGCCTAAACTATGAAGTTTTTATAAAACTAGAGTTTGACTGAATCTTCAACTAGACAGACTCAACTTTCCCAGAATAATTTTATTATAATCAAACCATGTTGAAGGTTCTAAATTTTATTTAACATTAGATATCTTAAAACTTGTAGAATCCTAAATGGCCTATAAACTGTAATCCAAATGAAAGGCATATTACAAATATTGCTAGCTAAAAATTAATAATTTTTTAGTGGCAGTTATTTTGTGCTTTTTTTCCCCCACATTTAAACAGTAGACTTTATCTTAAGTGGCCTGGTATCTTCTGTTTTGAAAGTCTTCTAATTAAAATTCTTTGGTCCTTGATGTCTGTCAGCATTTTTTAACTAAAGGTCACAACCCATTAACAACCATGAAATTGGTGTTGGGAAGAAAAAAAAAAAGGAATAGAATAGAACAATCTCAGAGTGCATTCCAAGTCGTAAGGATAGGTATTGTTTCCTGTAATTGTCTTGGGTCACATTATAAAATGAATTTTGTATTTTGGTTCATAGCCCCAGAAGTTTGAAACACCCTGAACTAGCTGTTACAGATGGAATGAATACCATTATTTGCATGATTTGGGAAATGGTAGCAAAAGATACGAAAGCATTCTGGTTTCAGTGCTAAAAACTCAGTAGTATTCACAGGAGAAAATTTAATGTGAAATACATCACTGACAAGATAATAACCAAATAACTTGATTTGTTCACAGACTGCAATGATTCTTATGAATGTGTATTGCAATAAGATTTTGAAGCCTGTAGATGGGTCCTGTTGTCAACCTCGGCCTCCTGTTACTCTCATACAGAAGCTAGCTGCTTGTTTTTTCACTTTATCTATTATCGGATATTTAATTTTTTACATAATTCATCGTAATGCTCATCGGAAGAATAAGCCGTGTACTGATTTGGAAAGTGGAGAGGAAAAGAAAAATATTATCAATACCCCTGTGTCTTCATTAGAAATACTTTTACAATCTTTCTGCAAACTTGGCCTGATTATGGCATATTTCTATATGTGTGACCGTGCAAATCTGTTCATGAAGGAAAACAAATTTTATACACATTCATCTTTCTTTATTCCAATTATCTACATTTTGGTTTTGGGAGTATTTTATAATGAAAATACTAAAGAGGTAAGAGTCATTTTCTTTTTAACTCATGTTACCCTTCTTGTCTCATTACATACTCTGTGTTAAAGAACTAATATCATTTATCATGACAAAATACACAAACAGGTATAGAGATGAAGATGAAGGAAGATTGTAGTTACACTTCACTTAGTGGACTCTTAACTGTTCCTTTTTCGGAACAGTTTGGAGAAAGGTCAGAGTCACGTGAAAATTGTTGAAAAGTTGGGAAATATGACCTGTGAAAAAGATTTCATGACTTAGTGTTATTTTGCCTGCTTGTTGACAGAGAATGTTGAAGTACTTCTGATTTTATAATGGTCTTCAAGCATGAGATACTATTATCTTTTATAAAGTAAAAGAATATAATTAACAAATGCCTATGCACACAAACATATTTTATATTTATATATTTATCAGTCAGACATATATACATACCAATCAGAACTTAATGATGTGGCCACCACTACTCACAGTATTCTGATTTTCCAATTTTAGAATTGCTGTCATTGCTCAGAATATTTGTGTAACTTCTTTACAAGGCATGATTTATTTGAATTACTGAATTCTATTGTAAAACATACCTCTCCTGTGAGGATTATTAATTAGTTATTCATCTTCATTGAGAATATACTGGGGAAAGTAAACTGTAATAATAGAGCTTTTTTTCTGTCAGTAAAGTGTAGGGGAAGTGTAAGATCCTTTTAACCCTGAAATTCTAAAGAAAATTATAGAATGCCATTTTTAGATTTATAAATACTCACATCTGTCATAGTTTAATTTTAGTACATTTAATTTTAATACATTGTCATTTAATACAAAACCAAGGGGATCAACTTAAATATTCAAAATCTCTTCAGTTTATATTTTTCAGATTCATATTATATTTAAAACAGTTTTATACTATCTTTTAGCAAGAAATAAAATGACAGTTTTTAACTGTTTCTCACCATCAAGGTTCTTTTGACAGAAGCATTAGCTTTATGTCCTATAAGAAAACTTTTAACATACTTATTATATGCCGTTAAATAATTTCTTCATGATAAATTTTAAAACAGATTTTGGTTCCTTTACACAGACTAAAGTATTAAATAGAGAACAAACAGACGAATGGAAAGGCTGGATGCAACTTGTGATTTTGATTTATCACATTTCTGGAGCAAGTACAGTAAGTATTTGGAATTTAAGTTCAGAAAGTATAGGAAGTGATGTCATTTTAATGTTTCTTTAAGGGCACCAGCTTTTTTGTGTTTTATAATCTCTACCAGTTATAGACCCTTCTTATTTCCCACTTAATCTTTCCGCCTTTCCATTTTTCTCCTCTTTGAGAAAATGTAATTTTCAAAGCAAAATTTTTTTTAAAAAAGATAAGGCAATAATTGCTTTGTATTTGCTTGGCCTTAATTTTTAACATAATAGAAATAGCTGATATCTAAGGGTATTATTTTATGCCATCTTATTGAACAGCTAATTTGAAGTTATCAGGAAACTTTGAAGAGGCCAGGTGTAGTGGCTCATGCCTGTAATCCTAGCACTTTCGGAGGCCGAGGTGGGTGGATCACCTGAGGTCAGGAGTTCAAGACCAGCCTAGCCAACATGGTGAGACCCTGTCTCTACTAAAAATACAAAAACTAGCCAGGCATGGCGGTGCATGCCTGTAATCCCAGCTACTCGGAAAGCTGAGGCAGGAGAAACACTTGAACCCAGGGGATAGAGGTTGCAATGAGCCGATATTTCACCACTGTACTCCAGCCTGGGTTGCAGAGTGAGACTCCGTCTCAAAAAAAAAAAAAAAAGAAAAAAGGAAACTTTGAAGATGATAATTATAAAGGATTTAGAATAGGCAAGTTACTGTCAGAAGAAATCAAATTTGATTATTATAGTTTATGTTCTATCCTTTGCTGTCTTTTAGGAAGTTTGACTAGCTATTTTTACATTTTTAAAGTTTAAAAAACTTCCAACTCTCTTGCCTCAGTATTCAAAGAATCCAAATACAGGTGGACCACCTTTGTAGACTATGTAGGGTGTGCCATACTTCCTAAGTGCTAAGTAGTATTATCTCCTCTCTGGTGTGGAAGACCCTTCCTTTGATCACCTAGTACCTTTTGTACCTGGAAAAAATAAGTTTTTTCCTTCTCCATGGGTGTCTTAAAAGACAGGATTATTATGATCTCTGGCCACTTTGGATGTGGCAGGGCTAGAAAAAAATGTGTGTTCTGAGTTGTAACAACCCAGCTACATTACAGTTACAACAAACTTTTGTGGCTGAGCCTAACAGCCACTTTTCACACAAGTTTTTATAGTGAAGATGCAAACTTTCCATAAAATATGTTTAAAAATTTTAATAAATTCATAATTTGGGAACTACTGAACTGTTTTTTATTGTTCTATTTGCTTACATCTGTAAACAGTACGTGCATCAATGATAAGTTGAAGTTAGAGAGGAGTGTTGCCCAGAAAGGAGTATTTTGAAGATTTAAGCAGCATTAAGAAGATAAATAACATGGTTACTAGTGTTTTTCAGATATCTCTAACAATTGAAGGATGTCTTTCTTCATTGCCTCTTTATTATTTTCAAAAATTATTTATGATTTTATGAATTATTTATTTGAAGTGTAGAAGTCAGAGAAATGAAGTATAAATGTTACTAAAATTATTTGGCTATGATATGTATGTTTGTTGCAACAGTGAAATTCCTGTGATGCTGCAGCTGACGGGAAGCTAGTGAATTTGAGTCATTATGAAAGAGCCAAGATAGTGTAAATGATCCAAGGCAAGGAGAGATGGAGATAGTAAGACATAGTTTATAAGCCCAGCTAAGAATTTGTAGGATAAATCCAGAGATTCTCTGAGAAGTATGTAGACATGAAAATTGAATCCTAAGAATATCTCTGATGTATGAATAAAGACTGAGTAATGGAATTTGTTTTAAGAAAATACCACTTAGAGACATAATTAATTGCTGACATATTAAAGGGTGATACTACTGTTTAAAAAAATCAGGTAGAAAGAATTAATGGCAGATTAAGTTCCTCAATTCAGTGACTCCAGAAAGGATTTATATCATAAAAAGATGAAGGCAATTTGGTATTCTATTATAATCATTTACCAACCTAACATTCTAATATATCTTCTTATACTGCATCCTAATATATTCTAATTTACAATTTTAAAAAATCTGTGTTCTGGAAGGACATGCTTTTCACTAACAGATCATTTATAATGATTAACTAACATATCCCTGTTCTTTTATATAGGATGTTGTAGTTAAAAAATTTCCTATATCTACATAGGCAAAACATTATTAGTATAGGTTATAACAAACATATTTGGGGACTTGATTCTTGGATATTTGAGGGATTACTCGTACTAAAAACTTTTAACTGTCATGATTATTTTAATTACTTAATATTTTTTATTTTGAATAAAATATGTCAAACTAGTTGTGTCATGTTTTTATGCTAAAAGATAACTGTATCAAAAATTCTAGAGAATTATTAAAATAATCCTTATGGTCTGACATTATCATTGTTAGTGTAAACATTATTTTAAAGTATAATATATATGAAATATAGATGAAATGTTGTAAATTTAATACAAAGAGAATAGTAAGTTTGGTATATACAGTAGGTGATTTGTGTTCCACTGGTTTTTTTTTTTTTTTTTTTTTTTTTTTTTTGCCCTTGGAGAGTTTGTAAGTAACTTCCATGGAAAGACCTGAATGAAAGGTCATGAGAATATATGGGGGACTGGAGAAAGCAGAACTGGAAGTCAAACTAGCTATTAACTCTAATGTAAAGTTGAAATTTCATGCATATTCTTAATACTAAACTTTTGTTGTAGGTAATACAGCAAAATAATAGAGAATTTTGAATATGGATCATACAGTAAATACTGTTATATTAAATTTCTTGGGTATGGTAATGATAATGTGGTCATGTAAGAAACCATCCTTTTTTCCTAAGACATAGGTGGTGAAATAGTTTAGGAGCACTGTCACATGGTCTGCAACATACTTTTAAAAGGTCCAGCATACAGCATATAGGTGTCCATTGTACTAGTACAACTTTTCTGTTCATTTAAAATATCTTAAAACGTTGGAATAAATATTACATGAAAGTTGCAATAGGCCAACATTGGCAGGAACTTGGAAAATTGTTGTTACAGTATTTAATTTTGTTTAAATGAATTATACTTACTGTTTAAATGTAATAACCAACCCAACTTTGTAGTCCCAGCCCCAGTCTTTAAGGGAGTTGAAAGCATGTTTTATGGAGAGTGCTTAAAGTAATTAGGAATGATTAACCTAGGTTCGACATCTGTTTTCAAATATTTATAGAGCCATCAGATATAAGAGTGAGTTAGCTCTGACAGACTCTAGAGCTAGACTCTCTGCTGTGCTAGCCACATTCACTGCATGTGGCTATTGAGCACTTCGTAGCTAGTCAGGATTCAGATGTGCTGTAAGTGTGAAATGTATACCACATTAAATATGATTAATTATGATAAATCAGTACTAAATTCAAAAACTTTATATAAAAGAATGAAAATATCTCATGTTGAAATATTTTGAACATATTGAGTTAAATAAAATATATTTATTGAAATTAATTTCACCTGTTTCTTTTAACTTTTAAAATGCTCTGGTAACCTCATTAAAAAATTACTTATGGCTCACATTTATTTCTGTTGGATAGCGCTGCTCTAGAGGGCTGAACTTGGTAGCTTTTACGTATAGTTAGGTTTCAACTTTTCATGAAAAGGATCATTATAGCAGTTAATGACCATCTAAAGGTGGAATGGATTGCCTTGGGAATTTGTTTTCTTCTATTAAAAGATGCTTAGGCAATCCACGAAGGGGATATTTTAGAGTACATTCAGGAATGAGGTAAGGGCACAGATTTGGATTAGATAAATTCTGAGGTTTATTTCAGTACATTTCCTGCCTCCATCCTTGTGATTCTAATATGTTACACCCTCATTGAAAATTTCTGATCTAATAAGTCATTTAAAAAGAACTGATGATGAAGGGCAATAAATAAAAACTCTTTGTTTGATATGTAGATTGTAGGTGCTATAGGAACTCAGGAAGGAGAAATGACATTCATCTGATAGTAAAAATTGGAATTTTGAACCAGGCTCTGAAGAAGAGTAGGATTTGAATAAGCAAAATGCTTAGGGGAAGAACATTCCAGGGCAAGAATAAACAGGTAAATAAAAGAGACTTGACAAAGGAGTACAAGAAGTATCAGTTTAAGAGATAGGGAATCTGTAAGTTTGCTTAGCGTGGATGCTGTGTAGAACTTATGGTCTAAGTTCATGTTTGTTTGTTTTCCCCAGAAAAAATATCCGTCCAAAAAGAAACATGAATGAAATCTTCAAAAGATGCATACATTTCAGGACTTATAAAATCTATTTAATGTGTCTGCTCAATTACTGTATTGAGCACCCAGCCTCAAAGATCACTTTAAAAAGCAGTGTATGGACAGGCGCAGTGGCTCATGCCTGTAATCTCAGCACTTTGGGAGGCCGAGGCGGGTAGATCACCCGAGGTCAGGAGTTCGAGACCAGCCTGGCCAACATGGCAAAACCCTGTCTCTACTAAAAATACAAAAAGTTAGCTGGATGTGGTGGCGGGTGCCTTTAGTCCCAGCTACTTGGGAGGCTAAGGCAGGAGAATTATTTGAATCTGAGAGGTGGAGGTTGCAGTGAGCCGAGATCACGCCACTGCATTCCAGCCTGGGCGACAGAGTGAGACTGTCTCCAAAAAAAAAAAAAGGCAGTGTACAAGTTATGCTGTGGAAATTGTGATTGTACACATAAAGGATCAGCTGGTGTAGAAAGGTGGAATCACAGTGTTCTAAGGTTATGAGAATTAGTACTAGTAAATGAAATAACATTTTTTGGTGCCTCCTATCATATGTGGATTCAAATGTGTTGTATTTCATTCAACTTAGAAGTAAAGATGTGATGCTCTGAAATACCATAATAAATGACATTAAGGGACTTGGTCATGATGAAGACAGTGATGTAGGAGCATAAAACAAAATTGTTTTGTAAAGTAAGAGTGGGAGGGAAATAATATTCCTAAATTATGTTTACACTGGGTAAAAGTATGAATCCATCTTGCATTCAGGATGTATGACAGTTAATTATAGCTATCATATTGAATTTTAATTGGGTACAAGTTAATGTATAAAGTGCTTCACATTTATTATCTCATTCATCCTTCACAAGAACCCTTCAAGGAAGGAAGGAATAGTCTCATTTTGCAAATTAGAAAACTCAAAGTCATGTAGTTAGAAAGTGGCAGAACTAGAATTTGAAGCTAGGTCTCTCCAATTCCAGTTCTACATTTTTGTAATCCTTGCTATAATGACTAACTTTTGAGAATCAACTTTGTGATTGAGCTGATGCCAAATGCTAATAATCATTTATTATCTTTGTTAAATGTACTTGTTATGATAATCCAAGGTGTAGTTGATGCCAACATATGTTTTACCTGTTTATCTTTGTCAACAGTTTTTGCCTGTATACATGCACATTCGAGTTCTGGTTGCTGCATATTTATTTCAGACAGGGTATGGGCATTTCTCATACTTTTGGATAAAAGGAGATTTTGGAATCTATAGAGTATGTCAGGTAGGAATGCACTGTTATTTCCTTTTCTTCCAGTTGAACATACTTTCTTGAGAAAGCATTAACTTGAGAAAAAAATATAAATATAGTCATTATAAGACTGAATAATTTGAATTTATGAAATAGCACTGTGAAGTTGTATTCTGTGTTCTGTGTTTAGTATTTCAAGATAAATTATTAGTGAAAGAAGGAAAATATAATTTAATATATAATAAAAGCACTGGTACACAGGAGACAGCATTGCTGATTCACTTTAATTTTGTAGAAATAGTTACCTGGAATTAGTATAATGTGCTATGTTTTCTTTCTTTGAGAAGAGGATGAATATTAATTAAGTTTCTACCTAGTGCTAAGCAGTTTCTAAACATTATTTCATTTACTCCCACGTTACAGCCTTGAGTTGTTATCTTTATATTTACAGATGAGGAATCTAAGGCTCAGAGAGCTTAAATAATTTGCCCAAGGTCACATAGTAAGTGGTACAGCACTAGTAAAAATCTGCTGAAATTCTGTGTTTTTTGAATGACATCAAGCTGATATCTGAAATGACTCTTATTAAAGTCCCAAAGACATTTTTAACTTTGAGTTTTGAGTAATACTATTTTGTATCTTTGACAACTCTTAATTTAATCCCAAATGGGGTAAGTCAACATTAAACAAAGATGAAATGGACACTGCTTTCTTAAGATAATCTAATCTATGCTTCTACACTATAGCCCTCAGAAGGACGACTTTTTTCTCTTTTAGCAAGATGGCAGTTATAGCCAGAGGACAGCTCAGGTTGGTGCTTTGCTGGGATTTAGTTAATATGATGATGTATACATATTTTATATTCAGCTCTTTACAGTGAATGTAAAACAAATGTAATTTAAGGGATTAGTAATATATACTTGTACAGTCATTATTGAGTCTTAGCCATTTATACTCTGTCAGAGAAAATCTGCCTTTGCTGTTCGTGTGTACCTAGAATGAAAACAATTACTTAGAATGAAACCATTTTCTTCTCCTTTTCAATAGGTTTTATTTCGTCTCAATTTCCTGGTAGTGGTGTTATGTATAGTAATGGATCGACCTTATCAATTCTATTACTTTGTCCCCTTGGTCACTGTATGGTTCATGGTCATATATGTTACTTTAGCACTATGGCCACAAATAATCCAAAAAAAAGCAAACGGTAAATATACTTTCTTACTAATGTTAGTAAATATATTTTTTCAACGTGTGAAATTTCTTTGTAGTTGCTAAATGATATTATTTTTATTAAGTGATGTAGACAGTTTAAATTTATATGTAGTTTTAACATTTTGAAATTCTGTTCTTAAACGATATTTCTAAAATGTTACAGCTAAGTAGTTAAAGTAATATAACAGTGGAGAATAATAGTTTACATTATATGTGTTTTTTCTTTTTTAAATTTAAATTCTTCAAAACCATTTTACATATTAACTAATGCTACAGTTTTTAAACTGTCTTCTTATACAGAGGCAGAGTGGAGAGAGCTGGAAGAGAGAAGGGAAAGCCAAATAGGCCTCCATGCCCCTATGTTTTGCTTCAATCTTGGCAGCTCTACTTTGATTTATGTATATATTGAGATTTTGAGTAAATATTTCTTTGCAAAAGTCTTCTTATGTCAAACACAATTTAAAAGCACTAATATAATGTATTTTCTAGACAAGCTTTGAAGCAGTTATTATCAACCTGTTTTACATATAAGGAACCTAAATACCCAAAAGCTTGTTATTTTCTAATTTCACATGGTTAGTTACTAATAATGTTCAAAGTGAGGCCACAGTCACTTATCTTAATGCTTTCTTCACCCTCAAGATCATATCATTAAAATAAAATCTTCCTTTTTTGGAAAATAATGTTTTATTTTTAAAAATGTATTTAACTTGACTCTTTCAACCAAATATTATGTGTCAAAAATATTTTTCCATTGGCTTCCAATATAACATCAAATAATTTTTCAGGAATGAGTTGAGGTCTAGCCTCTATTAAAGTCCAGTAGTGTCTTTGGACAGCCTCTGTAGTTTAATTTCTCTATACAAACCCAGCATATTAATCGAATAAACTATCAATAAACTTTTAACACATAATTTTAAATATGCATATGTTAAAATATATTTTATGTTTAAACTCTAATCCATTAGGGGGTTTAAGCTTTCTCCTTGGAACTTTAATGTTTAAGCAATATCACCAAAGTCATATTCAACAGGAGTGTTTGTTAGAATTATATTGAACATCTTGTTCCAGATTTTGCTGTAACTTTGAATAATGAATAAGTATAATTGAATCCAGGAGGCATTTAAAAATACATTTCTAATGGATGAACAGCAGGTGTACAGGGTATCAGTTATACTTTATAGCCTCATGCCTAGCAAGAATCCTTTGTTTTTCTTTTTGCCCTACTTGTAATTTATACTAACTGGATATATTTTGTGTATTCTTGTAAGCATTCTTATATTATTTTAAGAACTATTCAGCATGTACATATATCAAATAGAGAGTATTTAATATGTTGTCTAATATAAATTTATTTTTTAGTAAATTAAATATTTTCTCTCTTAGGAAATTGTTTCTGGCATTTTGGCTTACTGTTGAAACTAGGCTTTTTGCTGTTATTCATATGTTTTTTGGCATATTCTCAGGTTTGTACAATCTTTTCAGTTTATATTTTTTCATATTTTATTTTAAAGTTCAAGTCTATTAAAGCATGTGAGAAGAGTCAGAGCTTTTTTTTAGCTTCATTTTTTAATGACTGTAATAAAAGTGTCACTCTGAAGCTGAGTACTCAGTGTAGTTATTTTGAGATATATATACTTTGTTACCACTGTTTTTGTTGTAAGAGCAAGTTAAAGCTCTTCCTCTGGCAGTTGTTCAAGATCCGTTTTACTTGACTTTGATCAATCAAACATTTATTGAATGCTTCTTATAAGACACTAGTCTAAGTGGAGATCAAAATTTTCTTGACAGAATTTGCAGCTAGTTTGTGTATTATTCATTGCATCAAAGTATTGATTTTTCCATAACTACATAGAGTAAAATTTTAGCAGTTAGTACAACCAACTTAGGAGCAAAGGGGTTTGTGTATCTATAGTATGTTTAATTAAATAAAACTTTTGGTCATTTTTTTTTTAGCTCTAACCTTGTATTTTTCTATTCTGATGGTTGAGATTTTCTGTTATTTTAACAGGATGGCAATCTTGCTACCTGCTGGTTAAATCCATCAGGCATACGTATTATTTGGGCAGCATGATATTTATAACAACACATTTTAATTCAAATGCCTGTAGTTGTGTCATATTCTGCAGTGTACTCACATCTTCAACACACTGTTTTGTACCTGGCTGTATCAGGTGGAAGGAAGTGCCCTATAGGCATTTTGTGTGTATGTATAATCCTATGCCGTTTGGGTTTTTTTTTTCTTTTTGTAGACTTTTATATTTGTTTTTATACTTAAAAGTCTTTAAAGCACTACTATTTCTGCTTGACACTCAAGCTTCTTTATAGAAGATAAATAAGGAAACAACTAAGAAATGTATAAGGAAATAGCCAGGTTAGGGCAACAACTTCTTGACAGTTATTCATTAAAATTCCCAACACTCTGTGGATACTGCTGAGGGAAAGAAAGAAAAGCTGACTAAAGGTTCAATATAAGGATTAAGAATGTTTCCCTAGCGTTGGGTCAGTGTTGACCCCTGGACAAGAACAAAAAGCCCACTGTCTTTCACAAAATAGTGCTTAATATTTGTTTATTGATCACATAATAAGAAATTTTTAATTAGAGATAAAATTTTAAATTGTGTATACATCATATATAATCATAGATATGTTACATATGTATGATCCATAAAATCATATATTTTATCTGAGAGGTACATACCTAGTGAATATCTATATTCATGCTGATATATATACATATATATACACACATATATATGATCTATAAGTACTTCAGACTTCAGATTGCCACTCTTAGTAAAAATCATCCTTAATTTTCTGACACATAGATTTTGATATAACCTATTTTTAATATGCTATGTGCATTTTAAATTCTGTGGTTAAATGGAGACGGTTGCGTTTTATTAAAATAATATTATAAAGTTCTTCTGACCTAAAGACTCAGCATTATCTAAAATATAATATTATTTTCATCTTTTCTCTTTGTTTTTTAATAGCCTCTTTAAAAATCACGATGTTACACTTTTTATGCCGTAGCATTAGGTCTAGTAATGGAGCTTTCCTTGATAGAGTTCATTGTGATTCTTTATTCTGAAAATTGAGGGTTTTGTTCTCTTCTTTGAAAGACTTCATTAATGTGCAGGAATGTACCCAAGACATCTGCCCCTTCAATCCCAGATTTTCCAACCTGTCAGATTCATAAGAGGGTACTATTCACTAACTTTATCAGAGTAAAACTGTAAACTTTGTTTCAAAGGCTGGTAATGGAATTTGGGTATGGTTGATTGAGTAAGGTGACTAATTCAGAGGACTCTTTTAACTCAAATAGTTAATTGTAGATTATTGAGGACATTTGGAGAATGATAACTATATTTTAACTTTAACAGTTGTTATTTGGGATACTGATACCATACTGGCTGAAATATTTTGTATTTTTCTGTTTGATGAGTAAATACTAGTTATTTTGTCTGTGAGATTAAAAACCTTAGGTAGAATGATTTTCTAATTACCAGATTTTTTGATTTGGGGGCTTAAGAAAATTTTACACTCTCAGTAGCCTTTCATGTGAAATGAAAATAAGTTTACCAAGTTTTAAGTCATCTTTTTTGGTCATTAGAAGATAAATTTATTTTCAAATTTTTAAAATTTCATTTGAAATACATTTCAAATGAAGTGATATTTTCAAATGAAATAAAACAGAATTTTAACATTGTGAATGACTCTTATATAATCCAAACTTCAGAAAACTATAATCTGTAATAGAATTGCAAAGCAAATATTGACTTGTACCATCTTAATTTATTTTCTGGATTCCTTTTTTCAGGGTGCATTTGAGAAGATCTTTTCTCTTTGGCCATTGTCCAAGTGTTTTGAACTGAAAGGGAATGTATATGAATGGTGGTTCAGATGGAGGTTAGACCGTTATGTATGTATTTACTTTGTGATATTTTGTCATTTCAAATTATACTGTTGGAAAATGATTGGAAATTTTTGATCTATCTATACTTAGTTTCAGAATAAATAAAGATGTTGATTTAGTAAATCAAAGCAGTCCAGCAGTCCACTACCCCCTGCACTCTTTTCTTTACAGCAGTGAAAGGGTATGCATGTGTATATATATATCTGCTGGGAAATATTATTTTAAAATATTATCTATAACATGGCCTTTGTCTGACTTATAATTTTGATTTATAGGTGACTTGTTGTATATATGCTTCAGCCATTCAAAACAATATTTATTGAGTTTCAATATGTGCCCTAGATGTTGATGCCATGAAGTATACATTAGAGAAAGAAAGAAGACATCTCAGCAGGCTTCGAAGCTTTCAGAGTCTAGTTTAAAACCCAAGATTACTATTATAAGAGGCTACTAACTATGCAATATAGATTTAGTGGTAGAAGTGTGCAAAGAAGAAAGAGCAGTGTCTTGTATTAGTCTATGAACTTGATCTTGAAGAAAGGTTAAGGTTCAATTGGCCAGGAAAATGTAAATCTAGCACAGCATTTGGAAAACTGATAATAACTATTAATTATTTCATTCTTTCCTTTTTTCCTTTCCTTTTTGACTGATCTCTTTTTTCCAATAAATGTTTTCTTAGTGCCTATTCTTTGCCTTTCCTAGTTTCCAACCCCTATGCATTTTTCCAGTGTACTACATTGCATTTCAAAACCACATCTGAATAAAATCTTTGCTAAAGTCTTCACATCAAATAATTTTTAAATTCTCAACATTCTCATTAGAGCAGTGTATTATGATACGACTGTCCCAGTCTATTTAGGCTGCTGTAATAGAGTACCATAGATTGGGTGGTTTATAAACAACAAAAATTTATTTCTTACAGTTTTGGAAGCTGGGAAGTGTAAAATCACACCAGCAGATTTGGTCTGGTGAGGGCCCACTTGCTATTTCATAGACACTTGACTTCTCACTCTGTCCTCATGTGCTGCAAGGGTCAAGGGTGCTCTCTGGGGTCTTTTTTTTTAAAGGGCATGAATCCCATTCATGAAGGCTCTGACCTAATGACCAACCAAAGGCTTTACCTCCAAAACTGTCACACTGGGGATTAACATGATTCAACTTACGATTTTGAGTGGAAGGAAATGTTCAGTCTATTGCAATGATAGTTCACATTAAGTCCTTGTTTAAAAAGAGAAAGCTCATGTACTTTCCGGTCTACCATATTTTTTTCACTTTTATGAGCGTACACTTCTTTTCAGAATTATGACTTGGTGGTGTTATTCTTTGTTTTATTTGACTGAAAGGACTGATATAAAATGTGTTTCATCTTTGTTGGGTGCATTTAAATTTTATCATATGTCTGTAGGAGAGTTCCTTATTATTTTTAAATTGTCTTTATTACTTCACTTGCCACTGAGACTGCTCAGAATCAACCAGTGTTATCTCATATTGTTCCAAGAGATGCTTGCTTGTCTATTGCTGATGGTTTCTAACAATCATCGGCTTTATTTCATTTCTTGAAGTTTCACTCTTGAAGTCCTTCATAGACACTTCAAACTTTAAGCTTTTAACCTACCTACTTTTATTCATATATTCCTCACTAACCAAATATTTTTCCTGTTTTTTGAAAAGTAACTGTTTAAAACAAATTTTCTCTCTTTACTTTTCAGGTAGTTTTCCACGGAATGCTGTTTGCTTTTATTTATCTGGCTTTGCAGAAGCGTCAAATACTTTCTGAAGGAAAGGGTGAACCTCTTTTTTCAAACAAAATTTCAAATTTTCTGTTGTTTATTTCAGTAGTTTCTTTCTTGGTAAGTTTTGAAAACTTTCCAAAATTCTAAATGGTATGGAATATTAACATTAAGATATGGAAATATAATCAATTATTTTTAATAATAAATCTTTTTTTCTCCTTATTTTTCTTTTTAATATTTAGAAATTTTAATACTTCTCTCCCAGTAATTGATAGGATAGCTAGACAAATTTAGTAAAGTTGTAGAATATCTTAAGGACACGGTCAGTTTGACCTGATGTTAGAATAGTTAGGTAAGCAATAACAGCAGAATACACATTTATTTCAAATGCATGCAAAATGTTTGCCAAGATAAACTATATTTTTATCTATAAAAATAGTTTCAATAATTTTTTAAAATTGTTTGTTTTTAATTATGAATACATATTAGTTCATATTTATGGGGCACATGTGATATTTTGATACAAGCATACAATGCATAATGATCAAATCAAGGTAATGTTAAATGCTTGAGGCGATGTATATCTCCTTATTTTTCTAACTGGACTTAAATTCTAAAGAGACTATATATAAGTTAAAAATGAAGAATAAATAAGAGCTCAATTAAACGGGAATTTTAAAAGTTACAATAAATTTGGGATAAAATGTAATGTAAGGTGTTTCATATGGAGAGCCATCACTGCCTTTTGATCACTGTTTCCAGAAAAGCACAGACTTGTGCACCTCCCTCTGTGCTTTCTTATGTTTGGACAGTTGAACATACCAAAACAGGTGATGAGCAAACTTGCAAGCAGTTTTTACTGATAGTTTTTACATAGCATAATGAAGTATAATGTTATAAATAAAGAACTGTAAAAAAAAAACACTGTGAGGCTTATGCCTCTTCCAGACTTGCTTTTTTGAACTTTTCCATACATTTTTTGTTTTAGACCTATTCCATCTGGGCTAGCAGTTGTAAAAACAAAGCAGAGTGCAATGAACTCCATCCGTCTGTTTCTGTGGTACAGGTACTATCTTGATTTAGAGAAATTTCTACATCTTAATTCTTGATAAGAAAATGGTTTTTAGAGGCAGAGAGATTTGAGATTGAACTCCAGAAAATGTAGAGAAGTTACTTCATCTTTCTAAGCCCTTCCTTTCTCTGTAGTAATAGGGATATTAAAATCTCTTTCAAAGGGTTCTTGTATTTAATATATGGAAATGATGTAGCTCAGTATTTTTCACTTAATCTGCCCTTAGAAAATGGTGGCTCACGCCTGTAATCCCAGCACTTTGGGAGGCTAAGGCCAGTGGATCACCTGAGGTTAGGAGTTTGAGACCAGCCTGGACAACATGGTGAAACCCTGTCTCTACTAAAAATACAAAAATTAGCTGGGCGTGGTGGCGGGCACCTGTAATCCCAGCTACTTGGAAGGCTGAGGCAGGAGAATCACTTGAACCCAGAAGGCGGAGGTTGCAGTGACCTGAGATTGCATCATTGCACTCCAGCCTGGGCAATGAGCAAGACTCCGTCTCAAACAAACAAACAAAACCAAAAAGTTAATACTACATGCTAGATATTATGCCAAGGGCTGCAGTGGTTACCAAATCAGACATAGTTCCTACTCTTATGGAGCCTACATTCTTTTTAGCGTTGTACAACTTATGCAATACTTTAATTATAATAACTCATTAAATGGTTTTATGTTTAAAGCCTTTGTTTAGGTCTCACATTCATGATTTTCACCACTCTGTATATCACTTATACTATTAATTATTTACAATGTTTCTTTAAATGACTCACAACCTGTGCTATAGTAAGTACCTTATGTATGTTTTCTCATTTAATGTTCACATGAACCTTTCAAAGTAAAGCTTATCTCTATTTGTTTAAATTAAAAAAAAGACCCACAAGATTAAGTGCCTTGCCACAAGTCCCAGGACTAACACAAGCAAAAGACTAGATTTAAACTTGAGTCTTTTTGATGCTATTGCCCATGAGAATCACTCAATTTAATTATACCTGAGTGGTTCACTTTGGTTCCTTTTTCCCATATTATCTCCTCCTCCTTCATCTTTTATGCATCCTAGAGACTTCTTAGATCCTTTGACAAAATGCCCAGGTTGATCAACATTGAATATGAGTTTTTCCCTGAAGTGTGAACAGATTTGTCAATCCTTTTGTAAGAGAAAGTTTCTGGAAAGTAGTTGTGAAAGTGGAGATAACTTTTTTTCTTTACAGTTTCTTGCTTTTTATAAGGAGGGTACATTCTAAGGCAAGGATTCTTTGCTTGGTAAGCTGGTTATTGGATGTGAGACAATGATTAACACAGCACATGTATACATATGTAACAAACCTGCACGTTGTGCACATGTACCCTAGAACTTAAATAAATAAATAAATAAATAAATAAATAAAAAGAAAATGCAAGATTGTTCCACCGAAAATGAAAGATTGTTCCACCTGGTACAAAAGGACAGGGGAGAGGAGTAAAGGCCAGGATCCCAAAAGCTGGAGATTCTTTCGGGAGAGAAAAGATCCAGAGAGGAAAATATATTACATGTGAATATAGTTCAAGACATCATTCGCCAGGCCATGCAGAGCAAACATGAAGACATGTTAAAAGCCATGCCATTTCCCGTACTATCATGGCTGTCAGCGGAAGGAGGATTTTGAAGGGAGTCAAGAGAGGGAATGACTGTCAACCAAGCAGATACTTTATGAGAGCAGCAAAATTATATGATTTTGTGAAGTGTTGCTACATAAATATGATAGCAACTTTTTCTACACAAAGGGCCTTAGGCAAATCTGTAATTTTTCCAGTATACATAAAATTGTTCAGCCATGTACTACTTAAAATGTTCATTGGTATGCAGCATACCGACCATGTGTTGAGAAATCCAGTTTGGGTAGACTTTAGAACAAAAATAACTTTCTAATACTTTTAGAATATAAAAAGACTGTTGTATATGTGTCAAGTTCACAAACATAAAGAATAAGGTTATCATTTAAAAGAAAGCTTTATACAAAATACTTTTCAATAAAGAGATTATTAATATTTGCTTTTGTGCTTTTTCTTTAGATTTTAGCCTTCATCCTAATAAGAAACATCCCTGGATATGCCCGTTCAGTTTACAGTTCATTTTTTGCTTGGTTTGGAAAAATTTCATTAGAGGTTGGTACATTAATATTTTGCTTATCTTACACAGCCAGGTGTTTCATGTTTGTGTATGTACGTGTGTGTGTGTAAATATCACACATATATGTGAGTATGAAAATCGGACGTACTTTTTTCTAAACTGAAGCTATTATGGAATTACAGGGAAAAGACTTAGAACTTTCAACAATACTAAAGTATTTTGGAATGTTTTTAAGCCTTATTTTTAAATGACTAGATATAGATTACTTGCAAAATATTATTTACGTTGTCTTGAGCTTTCAAGCACAACCAAGATGCTGAGACCAAGAGAGAAAAATATTAGACCAGGTATATAAATGAAATCAAACTGAGGGGATTTTGATTTTTTGTTCATCTCCATAATTAAATATATTACTGGAATTCAGTTTATTGATGCATACCATAATAAAATTTACCCTTATTATGATTGGAAATTGTGGGAGAAAGTATAAACTCATTACATTTTGTGTAAGATACATAATATGAAATTATCTACAAAATCAGTTTGAACAGTAGGTTTTAAAATGTATTCTGAGTAGTCTAAGCTTTATTATTTGAAATAGAATGTTTTAAAACAATTTATATTGTAATAACAACATATATTTTAGAGTTTTTAGAGTATAGGATTTATTAAATTGTCTCTTAAAATAGGGAAAATAAATTCCTCTTTGAGTTCTTGAATAATTGTTCTATTATTTTCTTTGGTCTCATTTATAAGAGAGATTGTATTAGCAGTTGGAGTTCTAAGGAGTAGACTGCAGTGGACTTTTCAGGGCCAGTAGTGAGACAGAATAAAATGGTTTTAGGAAAGCCTTCTAATGTTATTATGCAACCAAATTGTTTAAATTAGGGAAAACTGTAATTTATTCATGGACCCTCTATAAATATCTGACTTAAATATTTTTTCTCCTAGCTATTTATTTGCCAGTATCACATATGGCTGGCAGCGGACACAAGGGGTATCTTGGTACTGATACCTGGAAACCCTATGCTCAACATCATTGTCAGCACTTTCATATTTGTTTGTGTGGCACATGAAATTTCTCAGATCACTAATGATCTTGCACAGATTATTATTCCTAAAGATAACTCATCTCTCTTGAAAAGGTTGGCATGTATAGCTGCATTTTTTTGTGGACTCCTCATCTTATCATCCATTCAAGATAAATCAAAACATTAGGTTCCAAAAATTCTAAAAAACCTAAACTCTTCAGGCTACCTTTGTGTGTCTCTAGAAGAGAAAAGCATCTATCTGGAGATATAAATGTGTATGTAAATATAAACGTTTGTGGCAAGAGGACAGTTCTGTGACATCTGTTGAACATATGTGGTTGTATATATTGGAAATGTACATATCCAATATGAAATACTAAAACAAACAAACAAACAAAAAACCAGAATGCATTGTATAGGATTGCATGTGAAGTCTTTTCTACTGAATCTATATTTCCATTTGTAAGTGATTTTAAGTTAACATATGAAGGCAGGGAAATGATTACCTTTCCAGTAAAAAGTATAGATAATTTAATTAACTTAGTGACACCACCAAGTGTTTTGATATAACTAAATTTGTGGTAATAAGACTGTCTGCACCTGTATTCATTGTGGAACTTCCTCTTTCATTGGAAACTTTCTTACTCAAGAATGACGGCAGTATTGTTTTCTTATATGTGCAATGAAGTGGAATGATAAACAGTATGCCTTTAATTTATATGTGTTCTTGTTCTGATGTTGTTTCCTGAAATGATTTTTCTTCCTAACTGTGGTTTTCGGGTATGCAAGCCTAAATCTTTGTACACTTTGTCTCACAGAATAGTTCTGAGGCTCCATGACAGGGTTTTGTCATTGTTGATGTTATTGTTGCTTCGTTTTATAAAAAAGCCAAAATTTTTTTTCCAATCCAAACGTTCACCTGTTTCCTTTCCTCAAGCTATACCAGTGTAATACCAGTTACCCTGTGGATCCATTTAATATGTTATCCCCACTAATTAATTTTCGTATATTATTTCCAATATTTGGAAAGCTCTTTATAGCCATTTGGTATTTCCTATTACCCACCTCCTATTTTAAATATTTATCAGTCTAAACTTGTGCAGTGTAGTAAACATGCAAGTTGTTACGATTGAGCTGTATTACCATAAGTAGAATTTTAAGTAAACTGGTGAATTTGGGCAATAAATGTTTTTGCTTTTTGTTTGATTTTTTTTTACAAGCTAACTGTTAGAGGTATACATTTATTTATCTGTTGTACAGATTTGATTATGATTTTAATGTTTGAAAGATTGCACTTGTTTGCTTTTACTATATGTGGGGTAAAATATATTTTCTGTTCACAGTATATGAAAATATGGAGTAATTTAAACAGTAAATAAACATTCTGTGGATGCTTATTTTTGTATTGGCAAAGTATCAATTAAACTATATGTGTTCTTTTTCAAAAATGCTGGATCCATTCATGATTGGTTCAAATATCTAATTATTTCCTCAACTTAAATTTGCTTTTTAAATTGCTTAATATGTAGGGGTAGGTTACCAAATGATAGTTGGATAAGGAATCATTTAGTTATCAGAGCTTCAGAGGGTCATCTGCTTTCCACCAAGGAAGTTTAAGCATTATGGTTCATTAGTGATTTTGCTTGAAGATTTTAAAAATGTACTTATTATTTATTTAGCACTGGATTTATGTGCTACTGATATACCTCCATTAATAGAGGAATATTTCTTGGACAGAGATGTGTGTTCTTTCCTTTTCTCTCTTCTTTTGCCCTTACTTAATCTTTTGACATTTCCCAGATAGACAATTGTAATGATTCATTGCTCTGCCTCCTAGACTGCAGCCTTATAAGTAGAGAATAGTATAGTTATAAATCAAAAACTTCCAAGTACTGTGATCACATTATTCTTGTTCATGTAGCTTGCCAATGAGTAGAGTGCATTTTAATTTAGCTTGTAAGTTTTATCACCTGAAAAAGATTCTTCTTGATGAAACAATTGAAAAAGAAAGATGACCAGTCTCCCTGTGTATTTTGGAAGCACTTATGTCTTCAGTAGGGATGCCGCAGTGAATATATGCTTTTCTCTCCTATTTGAACTGAAGCCTAAAACTTACCTGGTGAGCCCTGTTTCTTCATCACTTGTTCTTATTTAATATAAAGCACTATTTTTTACATATAATTATATAATAATCTGTATAATTTAAAAATAATTTATTTGTAGTTAAAAATATTTTTTATATTTGATTTTCTTAATTAGTCTTAAAAGGTTATTGTGGAAGTTGCCACAATGATAGCACCTATATATACGGTAAATGTCTTAATATTTTATTTTCTGCATCGACTCAGATACTGACCATTTGCATTACTCAATCATACCATTCTTTAGAATAAGATTTTTAACAGGATGTTTAGATATGCTAAAGTTGAGATAAAACCACAGAGGTTCTCTAAATTCAGATTTTTCTGTAATAGAAATCACAGTCAGAAATCTACCATCTGGCTTTAAAAGGTACTTGCTTGACTGAATTCTACCTCAATCGTTCCTCCTTTCCTTTGCCAAAACTTCCCATTTTTGTGGGTAGCCAATAGAAGCATTAAAAATTCAGCCCATCTAAATTAATAATGTTTTACAAGGATGTGGGACCCAAGTTCATTTATTATTCTATTCTCGAATGACTTTATACTAAAACCTTAAAACGGGAATGCATCCTGGATATAGTCATTGATATCATAAACTGGATGTGTTCCATGGCTTGCATTGCAGACAATTCAGTGTTTTGTGTAATGAATTGGATGTACCACATGGGAGTCTGTTGCATAACAGGAGATTAGGTAGTATTGTACTTACAGATTTTTGGAACAGTTGAAAGAAATTCAATTCTTCACATCATTCAAGAGAAAAATTACCTTTTTAGCTTAATAGTGAAGACTGAAATAAAGATTGACAATTTTGGTTGGCAGTTCAATCCATCTTACCACTTTGAATATTTCTCTGCAAAGACATTCAAAAATGATTGCATACATTTATGACTTAATTTGTTCATTCTTGTGTTCATTCCCCAAATCATAATTGTGATTTGGGGAAACTTATTTGGCAAGGTGTATTCTGGCTCATTTTCTTATTCTAAAAATGGTTTCCAGAAAAGGAAGTGGTCGTCCAAACTATATTCCCAAAATTGTGGTGTTTGATGACTGATTTCCAGAATAGATTTCTTATTTTATTTAATTAATTAATTAATTTTTTGAGGCAGGGTCTTACTCTGTCACCTAGGCTGGAGTGCAGTGGCGTGATCTTGGCTTACTGCAACCTCCGCCTCCTGGGTTCAAGCAATTCTCCTGCCTCAGCCTCCTGAGTAGCTGGAATTACAGGTGCCTGCCACCATACCTGGCTAATTTTTGTATTTTTAGTAGAGTTGGGGTTTCACCCTGTTGGCCAAGCTGGTCTCCAATTCCTGGCCTCAAGCGATCCACCTGCCTCAGCCTCCCAAAGTGCTGGGATTACAGGCGTGAGCCACTGTGCCTGGCCTGATTTTCTGATTTTAAATCTTACAAAAATTTAATGGCACTATTTGTTCTGCCTTTCCATATTAATAGTCATAGTAGAAACAAGGAGACACAAATGGAAGCTATTTAACTGGCATTCAATGTGGTACCAGAACCTAAATATAACAATATTGGAATACCCAAATTCTGTATATATGTCTGTGTGTGTGTGTGTGTGTGTGTGTGTGTATGTGTGTGTGTGTGTGTGTATATATATATGTATATATATGGAATAATTTCTTTTACAATTACGCAGACATTTATGTTCAAAAGTAACCATTATGAACAATTTGGGGGAAATATGAAATGGAATAAAATACCCTTTGTCTTTCAGGGATTCAGCAGTAAAATTGTCCTGAGCACCTGACATTTTACATCTTAGTAAAAAAGATACTAAAATTGTTTTGCTTTTGTTTTGTTTTGTTTTGAGAGGCAGTCTCGCTCTCTTGCCCAGGCTGGAGTGCAATGGCGCAATCTCGGCTCACTGCATCCTCTGCCTCCCAGGTTCAAGCAATTCTCCTGCCTCAGCTTCCCAGGTAGCTGGGATTACAGGTGTGCACCACCATGCCTGGCTAATTTTTATATTTTTAGTAGAGACGGGGTTTCACCGTGTTGGCCAGGCTGTTGTCGAATTCCTGACCTCAGGTGATCCACCTTCCTCGGTCTCCCAAAGTGCTAGGATATAGGCGTGAGCCACCGTGCCCAGCCAAAAATGTATTAAAATTCTTATTTGGAATTCAAAGTAAAACTAAGAAAAATGGAATAATTAAATGTATTTTCCCTTTATTTTCAAATTAAAATATCTTCAATATTATACATGCCTATGTTATATTAAAAGCTTATACTATCATTCAGTAAAAATAAAGCTTGATTCTATATCTGGCAGTTTTGTTGGTTTGTTTTGTTGTTTTAATTCTTAGGCTTTGTCTTTCTCTTTTCTATCCATCCTTAGTACTTGATTTTTGACTGTAGCTCTTTCATAAGTAGGTTAGTATTTGTTTTGTTTTTAACAAGTCACAGGGTCAAAGTCCTGCTGATAGACGGAATGAATATGCCTTCCTTCATAAGACTAGACTAGACAGGTTTTTGAAGATAACTAATATTGGGAGTGGCATGATGTGTTTTTCTTAGGTTAGTCAGGAGAAAATAGTGGCAGTTATTTCTGGTGTTGAGAGAAAACTAGAACTAAGAATTCAGCACTTTCTTTCCTTGACCCCTTCCATTTTATCCCCACCTCTAGACCCTGTCACTGGGAGAGACAAAGTGATGGAAAAACATTTAGTTGAAGTCTGAGGAATCCAGTACTTCCAAAGTACGTAATGCATAAGGCACATGGAACTGGAGCCCTTTCTCAGAGACTACAAAATTAAAAATGGAAACTATAAAGAAGTAATACCTGGGCCAGAATATCCAGGAAAAGTTTTAGAGTAACGGGAGAAGTGGGATTTGTAAAGTTGTATATTTGGATATATTATTTACACTAATATCAGTGTGGAATGGATGCAAGAATATATAGATTAATGGATAGAATCAGCATAAAAACAGATTTTATCAAAAGATATTAGAATAAGGTAATGGTTTGATTTCACATTACTGGGGAAAGGTAGAAATATTCTTTAAATAGCCCTGGGACTATTGCTTAATTGAGGGGTGAGAGTGATAAATTCCCATTCTTACTCTGTATACCAAAAGAAATATAAAATGATTAATAGGTTTAAAGACATGTAAAATAAACAGTAGAAAATGTAGGTGAACATCTCATTCTTAGATGAGAAATGACCTGTTAAGGCTAAAAGGTAAATCCAGAATTGCTACATCTATTACGTGAAAATTTAAAATTTCAGTATGCCCAAAAACATAATAGAAAAAATACAAGTGGGAACATTTTAGAACATTAATATTTGATGAGAATTTAATGTCCTGGTTCGTGACCAGCCTGGCCAATATGGCAAAACCCCATCTCTACTAAAAATACAAAAAATTAGCCAGGTGTGGTGGTGGGGGCCTGTAATTCCAGCTACTTGGGAGGCTGAGGCAGGAGAATCGTTTGAACCCAGAGGCAGAGGTTGCAATGAGCCGAGATCACGCTATTGCACTCCAGCCTGGGCAACAAGAGCGAAACTCTGCCTCAAAAAAAAATTAATATCCTGGGTATATAGAGAGCTCTTATAGTTTAGAAACACCAAGCTGTTTTCCAAATTTCACTTGGTTCCTAATTCTACACAGAAGGTCACTTCATTCAGATACCTCAATGTTCATTACATAAATAATTTAACTTGGAAGAACATCAGGAAACCACAGTACTCAAAGTTAGGCTTTCTATGGATGCTTTTTGGGAATTGCGGGGAGGGCAAAGATTTTTTAATGGCCACTGTTATGCCTTCCTTAAACATTTTCCAAACTAAAATTAATTAAGACTAGGTTATATTGAGCAGAACTTTGGAACCTAAATGGCCCATCTGTCTGTGTGAGAGCACAGATTCAATTTTTTTTTTTCCTAAAGAGAACCTCGGTCAAACTCTAGAGTATTCTCTCAGAAACTACTGATTATTAAACTCAAGTTTGCCTAAAAGATGTCACTCCTACACCAGCTTAATGTCTCATTAAGACAGTTTTTCTTAGAACCCTAGGGTGGCTGAACTCCAGTCATGAACCGTCAGCTAGCTAATATCTATCTTCTGTGAGTTTGACTGTGGTTAACAGTATTTATAAAGGAATGTTAGGGATTTGCTTTTTATCACTTCCTCAGATACTTTAGAATGTACCTGAGAATTAAGTCTGGCAAGCACCTAGCAAAGACCGCCTGGACAGTAACTTCCTGACTTACCCCTAGAATTTCTCTTGAGTTTGAAGCCATTGGTTAGCATTGCAGGACATTCTATAAACAATTCTATGAAACTCATCATTGTGTCAACTGTAGGAATGTTGATTACATCACACAATGGGCTCTTTTTGTGGAGTCTGAAGTTATTCTGACCTTACTGTAATATTTGCACCTCTTGTAAACAGTTCATTTGCTACTATCTTAGGTACATTGTGAGTTGGCTTTTTATGTTTGCCGATAAGAAGCAAGAGCTAAATTTGTGCTCCATCTAGAAAACAGGGCACTTTGGTATTGTTTATATTAGTCTCATTCTTGATCCCTTTTTCCTTCTCATATACTTCAGATGATGTTATTTGGCTATATTTTGCCTAGCCTTATAAGCCATCTTACATTCTTTTTTGAAATGAGGCAGTCTGGTAGTCCTAAGTGTTTCTTCAGACCACACCAGTCAGGATGATCAAGAGTCATAGTATATACAAATGGTAGTAGTAATATTTTTGCCTCACTGGTTATGTTTGAAAATCCTAGTCTTCCAAGTCATTTATCTCCTCATTAGGGTCCCTGAGTTGCTCACGAAATGTCCCTATAACAAATGTTCACAGTTCTCTGCAATTTATGAAAATAAGGCCGAAAGTTCTCCTTATCCTGTTCACTTCATGTGTTTCTTTTCAGTCGATACAGTTTCCTTTTTTTTTTCTTTGAGATTACCAAAAATTCCAATGGTAGCTATGCCATTTCCTTCTCTAACTGCCAATTGTTTCCTCTTTTGAAATTGCTGCTCTGTGGACCAGATGTCAGGCTGCAAACTCAAGGTGTTGGTACACACTTGCCCTTATGACGTAGCAATAACCTCTTCTATGGATGCTTCTTACTGCCATGTCAACATGTTCCAGTCTGGGAGTGGTTTCATTTTAGACCAGGTGGTCTCCTACTGGGATGTAGTCTCAGCTGACCCCCTTTTTTTTTATGCCAGAGAATGCTGGAGGATTCAGGAAAATTCCTGTATTTTACAGCTTAGTTTTCCTGGCCCTTCAGAAAAATAAGAGACACCGGAACAACCTGATATGATGGTACCTAGAAGGAGTAAGATCTTCCTTATGCTCAACCCTATCTTACATACAAAGGCCTTTGTAGAAACAGCAGTATCACCTTTAGGGGGGTTCTGCTCTATGAATCTCCAATGATGTATGACAAAGTGAGTAGTGACTAAATTGCTGGAGAAATGAGTAGCAAGAAGGGACATGGAACCTGAAGACGTTGAGTGGACCACACAAGAAAAGTGGTTATACTACCTCCCTCCTTACCCCCTTTTCCAAATATCCTAAACGGAGGCAACATTAAAGAGGCGTCTTCCATGCAAGGGTCAGAAAAGGCCTCTGTGGAGATAATAGTTAAGCTCTGGAAAACTCTTATACATAGCTAAGGAATTTGAGGAAAAACAATTTTTTGGTGGTTTGGTCAATTAGAGAATGAAGCCATAACTAATTACTTACCACTTTCAATTTTTTTCTTAAAATGCCTGCTTATTTTTTTTTATCCTTGTGCAACTTAAGGGCTTGTCTTTTTCTTGGTAATTTAGAAGTATTCCTTGTGTAATAAGGATGAAAACTCTAATTTTGCAAACACTTTTCCCAGTTGCCAGTTGTCTTCTGTTTTGACTGTTATTTCTTACATTTTTTGTTTTATCAAATCCATACATTTTTCATTAATAGCACAGCCCTCATTTAGCCCCCCTCCCCCACGCCCCCGCTGAAAGCTGGCTACCATTTTTATCATTTGGTATATGTCCAGAGCAGTATCCCTAAGTGTGGAATGTGTTGCCCCCAGAACCCAAAGAGCCTACTAGGCACTAGGAGCTTCTTTCTTTGCAGTAGGGAATACAAGATGCAGCAATGTGTTTTTTATTTTGATGGACATGTCTTGTCATAGCCCTGACTGCTGGACTCTTAAAAAGTGTACTTAAGTGGCAAGACTACTAGTCTTTTAATGGCTTATTTCCCATACTCTAGAGTACGCATGTCTCACCAAGACCTCCAGTGTGATAACCAGTTTATGAGCATGATGTCCTCAACATAATCAACATAATATCCTATGGGATGTTTAGATAGTTTAGATCTCTTCAGACTATTTTATGACACAGCAAAAGAGTTACCATAGCGAAGAAGCAAATGAGTATTTTTGTCTCTTTCATGTGAATGCACACAATTTCTGATTAGAATGGAAAGAACACATTCACTAAGCCAGTAGACATGTACCTGAGGCCTTACTACTCTGCTCTAGCAATGAAACTGTGTCTGGCACAACAGTTGTGGTCCAGGCTACTGCTTGGTTGAGCTTGTTGTAGTGTACTGATATTCCTCAAGATCCATCTGGTTTCTGCAGGGCCAGACTAATGAATTAAAGTGATATGATAGGGACCACTATCCCTGCATTCTTTGGATCTTTAATGGTTGCACTAATACCTTCCATCACCCCTGGGATAAGAAATTGTAATTTACCGTCTTTGGCAGTTAGGGAGGCAGTTTCAAAGTCTTCCACTTGGCCTTCATCCTCTATGATAGCTCTTGCCCCACAGGCAAAGGACCCAATTGAGGCTAACTTCAATTTTCAAGTATATAAATTCCAATTATACATTCAGGAAATGACTGCAGGGTCCTGGCTAAAGTAGTAGTAAATGGGGTGCATGGTCCAACAGGATGGATCCATGGACATAGTGAACCTACTTTGGCCAGAACCCCATTTACTACTTAGTCTTTGCGTGCGCCCACTCTGAAGGCCATGAAAATACTTTGGGTCTTCATGTATCAATGTCAAATAGTTGTCAAAAAGGCTGGTTACTCTCCTTTTAACAGCAACAATCACATTAGTAAATGTCTGTAAATCTCTATGAGGGAAGAACTGAAGAAAGCTTTGCAGTACTCTATATCTTTGTCATTGCATTGCAGGGTTCTTTCTCTTGGGAAATTGGCTAACTCTTTAGGTAATGGGTTCCAGATCTGAACATAGTCTCAGATCTGGGAAATCAGCAAGGAATTGCAGTGCTTTATTGGGCTACAGCTCTCAGCCTCCTGCTCCTCTATTCTTGCCTTCTGGTTGTATATGTTAAGTAGCACAGTAATTCGCTGCCCATCTATTTTTCCCCTAGAGACACCATATTCTATTATCTATGTATACTACTCCTTCCCATTAAGACCCTTTGGCTACCCCCAAGACTCTAATGGTAAAGCAACTCTGACACTTATGTGCCACTACCTGGCCTCTATTATTTTGGGGCCTATCAACCCATTGTGAATAGCAAGACTAGTTCTGTGTATATTCCCAACCCATGTTTCAGAGTCCCAGGCTTCACATAAGGGTCCTAAATTTAGCGTAATAGACCTGCCTTGGCTGAGCATTTAAACACCTCTGGTGCTCTGTAACCCTAGTTATTAAATCCTGAACTTACCACCCACTGAAGGTATAGTTCCTCTTTGTAAGCGTCCTAAAAGGTCCTGTGGCTGTAAAACTTAGCTTATGTCTGTTAACTGCCTTCAGCTTCTCATCCTCCATCTACAGGACAGTCATACAAGTGAGCAATAACCCACTGACTTAACTGTCCCTGTAGGTGCTGTTCCTCCCAAAACCTTCAAATGCCTCAATTATCACATTAGTAAGGATGCTTCCCTCCACCAGGACATTCTCCCAGGTCACCACTAATGGAAATTTCAGCAATTAAGCTATCACCTATCCCAAGGACTTCATGATTCACATTCTGCTTAGTAAGGGCTTCTCGTTGCCTGCCGAGCATGAGTGAGCCAGTCTCCTAACCTCATCTAACCATATACATTCTCAGACCATTCCAGGTGCCAACTATGTCACTTTGGGTTCCCTAGAAGCAGACAGAATCATATGTGCAATACATTTGCTAAGGAAAATACTTGTGAAGGATAAAGGGGAAAGGTACCAGGGGTAGTCAGAGAATTGGGTAAGAAGAGCTTCAGAATGCAATGTAGTTTCAAGAAAGTCTTGGCTAGGATGATGGGGAGCTCCAAAACCAAGATTACCATTGGAAGTGTCAATCATTGAGCGGGAATGAGCTGGCTCTAGTACCGCTTCCATGCCCAGTCATTGGCTGGGATCAGCAGCCCAGGGAGAGCCAGGACTTCCTCACAATAGGTTTTTTGAAGGGAGAGCTGAGCAGCATATTTTCATGTCAACCACAAAGAATGAGGTGAGCATTTATAGTTAATAACAAATGAATGCAGAAATTTACAATTAAATTCATGGGCTTCATCAAAACACCAGAAATAAAACTGGGAATAGAATCATGTATATGTGAAAATTCTTAGTACAGTGTACATAGAATTTTATAAGCAAGGAAAGGAGGGAAACAAAATATAATTTAATTTTTATCTAATTTCTGATAAAGAATAGCTCAAGCATATAAACAAAAGAAAGCAAAATGAATGTGATTATAATACTTATAAAAAAGAAATATTTCTTAGTCAAAAGAAATGCTGCAAACAAAATTAAGAGTCAAATTGAAAAAAAAAACTTGACAAATAGACCACTTTTAACATCCTTACATAAAGAACTCTTACAATTTTTTTTAAACACAGGTTTTCTCCAACTTATGGCTGTTTCATAGTTGAATGATTCCATATAGTACTTTAATTCCATTACTTTGGTCTCCATTACATAAATAGTTTAACTTGGAGGGTGCATCAGGAAGCAACACTGCTTAAAGCTAGGCATTCTAATGGAAGCTTTATTGACTTTTCTCTCTCTTTTTTTCAAATGTGCCATAGTGGGCTTTTGGTTACACCTTCCTTAAACATTTAACAGAGTAAAATTATTGAGTCTGTGCTATATGGAGCAGAAATCTGGGCCCTCAATTGACCATTTGTCTGTGATTAAGAGCAAATTCAGTTTCTTCCTGAGGAGAACCTTAGCCAGGTCTTAACTACCCCTCGGCTCATCATGGTGTGGCAGTATGATGGCTCTTCTGGTTAGGCTTTTTAGCATGCAGAAATATTTCTCCTAACCCTGGTGGATCCTCTAGCAGTTTATACTTGAATTTGTACTCTCAATCATCCAAACAGAATGGCTATACTCCAGATATTTACCAGAGGTGTTACACACTTTCACATTTATTCTGCTAACTGTGATGTTTAGTCTTACTGCTTCCATCCTTTTTTTTTTTTAATCTTTCTGTTACAGATTTATTTCCTATTGGAACCAAGTCTGTGAGTTCACACCCACATACCAGATTTTGCTTCGTGATTGTCAGAGGCTAGAACTCATCCATCTT
Source organism: Homo sapiens (assembly GCF_000001405.40). NCBI lineage: Eukaryota > Metazoa > Chordata > Mammalia > Primates > Hominidae > Homo > Homo sapiens. The sequence goes on from NC_000007.14 coordinate 94,567,231, forward strand.
GTTTAATATGTATTTTTTGTTGACTGCTCTTTATTATAGTGATTTATTTTTCTCTTTTCTAACATGTTGAAATGGCCTAGTTTTTATTTATTCTCTATTGATTTGAGCCTCCTATGCCCTGCTTCTGTCATACCAGTGGTTACCTTATCTTTCTTCAGAATTCTAATATCTGAGTAGGGCCATGTAAAAGAAAGACATATTATTGAAACAAAAATGAAAATTGCCATGAGCCCCTTTTTTACCTCATGAAGCATGTGTATACTTCATTTTTGGCAAGGTACTAGCCTTGAAAATACCAGTGCAGTAAGGGGATTTCAGAAAGAAGACACCAGAGAGTTTGTAAGCCCCTGTCTCTCAACATTGTGGTCATCTTTAAAATACCAGGGAAGCTATGTGGAGAGAACTGAAATAGGAATGTCTACTGTTGCCAGCCTATGCCTGCTAGCTTCTTTTTTCAAAGGCAAGGTCCTTTATTATTTCCTTGTTATGTATGTATTTTTGAATAGGGAATAAATTTAGATGGTTCAAAAATAAAATATTAAGGGCAGATAGTGAAAAGTTTTATTTTTCCTCTACAATTCCTCATCTACCTAGTTCCCATGACTACTACTCCCCAACTACACACAGCCAGTCTTACTAGCTTTTTATGTATTCTTACAGAGTTCCTTTATACATTATAAGGAAATGGAAATATATATTCCTTTAACATTTATCCTAAATTAACGTATAAAGTTCATATGATTCCAACATGAATATCAACAGGTTTTTTAAGAAATAAGCTGATTCTGAATTGTATTTGGAAAAATAAGAATTGCAAGAAAACCTCTGATTTAAAAGAAGAGCAGTATGGGAGGGTACTTTCACCAGAAATAAAAATGTATTATTTTATAACATTGTATGAAATAATATATTAGAAAGCCTCTCTAATTAAAACTGTGTGGAGCTAATGCATGAATAGCTAGTGATACAGAGTAAAAAGTACATAAATCGTCCCATACATGTCTATGAATTTAGTATATGCTATAGGTAGCAACTCAAGTCAGTTACAAAAAAGATGGATTGTTTAATAAATAATACTGGCAAGAAGGTTGTCATTTTAAACAAAATTAAGTTGGATCCCTACCATACATCATAAAAGTATAGAAAAAATACAAATGATATCCTGTATTACTTTGGAATGATAAAGTATTCTTTATTCAAAAACTATTCAAAATCCAGAAGTCATAAAAGATTGACAAAATCTGCTATGTTAGAAAAAAATTTTTGCAAAGCAAAAACAAGTAAATCCAAAGATAGACTGAGAAAAGGCATTTGTATCTTATATTATAGACAAAAGGCTAATCTCCCCAAAATGTAAAGACTTCCTAGGCATTGATGATAAAAGAACAAACGACAGATAAGTGAAGTGGGTGCTATGGTCTGAATGTGTATGAATTAATATGTTGAAACCTAATCACCAATGTGATGGTATTTGGAGATTGGGCCTTTGGGAGATGATTAGGTCCTGAGGGCAAACCCTCATGAATGGGATTATTGCCCTTATAAAAGAAGCCCCAGAGAGTTTCCTTGCCCCTTCCACCATGTGTGGACACAGAAAATGGCTATCTAGGAATCAGGAAATGGACCCTTTCCAGACATCAACTCTACCAGCACTTTGATCTTGTACTTCCTAGCCTTCCATACTGTGAGAAATAAATTTCTGTTGTTCATAAACTACCCAGTCTCTGGTATATATTATAGCAGCCCAAATGGACTAAGAGGGGAAGCAGTATAAGCAAACTATTCACAGAAAGGGAAATATTAATGCCTTTGAAATATACGATAAGATACAAGTTGATAAGACACTGTGTTGAGTGAAGGTTATGGCAGGACAGCACAGATGCATTGCTGTGGGAATATAAATTCCTAGGGTCCCTATGGAGGGCAGTCTAGATATACATATTAAAAAATGCATATACCACATCTGGTAACTTATACTCATATTGGTGGAAAAGGGTATATAAATAAGGTCATTCACTGCAGTATTACTTGTAATTGTAATTGACTGTACAATTGATAATTGTAATTGGAACTAACATCATCAATAAAGGAATAGTGGATTGATGATGTGGTAACCATGCTATATAACACCATGTAGTGCTAACAAAGAATGGGGAGATTATGTATTTATAGGGAAAAATCCCAAGGAATATTGCTAAGTGAAAAAAAAATTTCAGAAATCTGAGTATATTTTGTTTTTAAAAAGACAGGGTCTCACTCTGTCACCCAGGCTGGAGAGCAGTGGTGCAGTTTTGGCTCACTGCAGCCTCAACCTCCTGGGCTCAAGTAATCCTCCTGTCTCAGCCTCCCAAGTAGTTTAGCACCTCTGTGCTTGGCCAATTTTTAAATTTTTTGTATAGATAGGAGTCTATCTATGTTGTCCAGACTGGTCTAAAAATCCGGGCCTCAAGTGGTCCTCCCACCTCAGCCTCCCAAAGTACTAGGATTACAGGTGTGAGCCACCACACCAGGCATGAAGTGTGTCTCTTGTAGACAGCATATCGTTGTATCATTAAAAAAACTCCATTCTACCAATCTCTGACTTTTTTTTTTTTCTTTTTTGAGACAGAGTCTTACTCTGTCACCCAGGCTGGAGTGCAGTGGTGTGATCTCGGCTCACTGCAAGCTCTGCCTCCCGGGTTCATGCTATTCTCTTGCCTCAGCCTCCCAAGTAGCTGGGACTACAGGTGCCCGCCACCATGCCCAGCTAATTTTTTGTATTTTTAGTAGAGACAGGGTTTCACCATGTTAGACAGGATGGTCTTGATCTCCTGACCTTGTGATCCGCCTGCCTCAGCCTCCCAAAGTGCTGGGATTACAGGCGTGAGCCACCGCACCTGGCCCAATCTCTGACTTTTCATTGCAAAGTTTAATCCATTTAAAATACGAGGATTTACTTCTGCCATTTTATTAATTATTTTCTGCCTGTCTTATTATTTTTTTGTCCCCTATTTCCTCCACTACTGCCTCTTTTCATGTTTAGTTGATTTTTCTGTAGTGAAAGGTTTTGATTCCCTTCTCACTTCTTTTTGTGTACCTTCTATAATTATTTTCTTTGTTATTACTATGGTATTCATATTTAACATCCTAAATTTGAATTGATAACTGCAATAGCATACAAAATCTCTGCTTCTATACAACTGTATCCCCTTTTATGTTATTGATGTCACAAATTACATTTTTATGCATCGTGTGCCCAATAATATAGATTTATGTTTTACAAATTTGTCTTTTTTTGGCGGGGGGATGGAGTCTCCCTCTGTCACCCAGGCTGGAGTGCAGTGGCATGATCTCGGCTCACTGCAACATCCACCTCCCAGGTTCAAGTGATTCTCCTGCCCCAGCCTCCTGAGTAGCTGGGACTACAGACGTGCACCACCATGCCCAGTTAATTTTTCTATTTTTAGTGGAGACCGGGTTTCACCATGTTGGCCAGGCTGATCTCCAACTCTGGACCTCAGGTGATCCAACCACCTTGGCCTCCCAAAGTGCTGGGATTACAGGAATGAGTCACATGTCCAGCCCATGGTTGTCTTTTAAATCATGTAGAAAATTAAAAGTGGAGATATAAAGCAAAATTACAATAGTATCAGCTTTTTTATTTGCTGATGTATTTAACTTTACTGGAGATCTTTATTTCTTTATATGGCTTTGAGTTACTGTTGAGAGTCCTTTACCCTGAAGTACTACCTTGAGCATTTCTTGTAAGACAGGTCTATTGGTAAGAGAATGCTTCAGCTTTTCTTTATCTGGAAATGTCTTAAATTCTCCTTTTTTTTTTTTTTTTCTTTTTAGACAGAGTCTCACTGTGTCACCAAGGCTGGAAAGCAATAGTGCAATCACAGCTCACTGCAGTCTTGACCTCCCAGGCTTAAGTGATCCTCCCACTGCAGCCTCCCAAGTAGCTGGTACCACAGGCCCATGCCACCATGCCTGGCTAATTGTTTAATTTTTGTAGAGACAAGGTCTCCCTATGTAGCCCAGGCTGATCTTGAACTCCTGGGCTCAAGCAATCCTCCTGCTTCAGCCTCCCAAAGTACTGGGATTACAGGCATGAGCCACCATGTCCAGTCACACACTTCCCACCCCCATTTTTGAAGGACAGTTTTGCCAGACATAGAATTCTTAGTTGACAGGTTCCGCACTGCCCCCACCCCTGCAGGATGTAATAATTATGAGGAGCTTGATCCAGAAAACCTAAACTGCCTTGAACTTATTTTTAGTAGAAATTTGGATTTTAAGGGTGCTGCCAGTGAGGGCTCAAAAGAAAATAAGAAACAGTATTTGAACCTACATGAAGGGAGGTTCTTGTCATGTAGTGGTAGAAAGCTTAGGGAAATTGTTTCCTGGAAACAGAACTCACAAATGGTAAACTTAGATACGTAGTTAAAGATATTTCCAAGCAAGGTATTGAAGATATGCCTGGTTTGCTTACAGTAAAAAGTGAGAGAAAGGAGACAAAAAGTAACCAAGACTGGATGACTTTTAAAATTCCAGCTTCTCTGTGTGGCAAAATAAGCCTAGAATCAGAAATGGCTGCCAAAAGTGTGGCACAAAAAGATGGTCAAGTGTATGACTGTACAACCTTTTACTAAAACCTCAAAAAAAAAAAAAATGGTCAGAAGATGAAGTTGTATAAATGACATTTGCAAGAGATTAAGTTTGTGCCTTACAGATCTTCCCAAACTAGGGGGCTTCTAGGAAACATAGAAGTGGTGTCCCTCAGCAGGAGGCCAAAATAGAGAAGGAATTCTCTCAAAAACATCTGGGATTGTGGCTTTTGTCTAATGAAGTTAATATCCATGAAATCCATGGGATGCCCTTAACATTTTTTCTTTCATTTTGACCTTGGAGAAGCTGATGATTATGTGTCTCAGGGTTGATCTTCTCCTGGAGTATTTTACTGGGACTCTCTAGATTTCCTAAATGTGAATGAGATTACAGACATGAGCCACCATGCCTGGCTAATAATTTTTACCTTAAAGTTTATTTTTCTGATATCATATTCCAGCTTTCTTTTGGTCAACATTTTCCTGGAATATCTTTTCTTCTGTAATTTCACTTTCAACTTATTTGAGTCTCTGAATCTCAGTTGTGTCTCTTGAAGACAACATATAGTTGGATTATGTTTTTTTGTTGGCTTGGCTTGGTTGGTGGTGGTATATAGGAATGCTAGTGATTTTTGTACATTCATCATTTCTCTAATGATCAGTGATATTGAACTTTTCTTCATATGCTTGGCCACATGTATGTGTTCTTTTGAAAAGTGTCAATTTATATCCTTTGCCCACTTTTTAATGGGGTTGTTTGTTTTTCTCTTGTAAATTTGTTTAAGTTCCTTATTGATGCTGGATATTAGACCTTTATTAGATGCATAGTTTGCAAGTATTTGCTCCCATTCTGTAGGTTGTCTGTTCACTTTGTTGATAGTTTCTTTTGCTGTGCAGAAGCTCTTTAAGTTTAATTAGATCCCATTTGTCATTTTTTTGCTTTTGTTTTGATTGCTTCTGGTGTCTTTGTCATGAAATCTTTGCCCATTCCTATGCCCAGGATGGTATTGCCTAGGTTGTCTTTCAGGGTTTTTATAATTTGGGGTTTTATATTTAAGCCTTTAGTCCATCTTGAGTTGATTTTTTATATGGTGTAAGGAAGGAGACAAATTCCAATCTTCTGCATATGGCTAGGCAGTTATCCTAGCACCATTTATTGAATAGGGAGTCTTTTCCCCATTGCATGTTTTGTCAGCTTTGTTGAAGATCAGATGGTCATAGGGGTGCAGTCTTATATCCTCTATTCTGTTCCATTGGTCTGTGTTCCTGTTTTTGTACCAGCACCATGCTGTTTTGGTTACTGTAGCACTGTAGTATAGTTTGAGGCATCAGGTAACACAGTGCCTCCAGCACTGTTCTTGGTGCTTAGGACTGCTTTGGCTATTCAGGCTCTTTTTTGGTTCCATATGAATTTTAAAATAGTTTTTTTTCTAGTTCTGTGAAGAGTGTCATTGGTAGTTTGATGGGAATAGCACTGAATCTGTAAATTGCGTTGGGCAGTATGCCCATTTTAATAATATCGGTCCTTCCCGTCCATGAGCATGGGAAGTTTTTCCATTTGTTTGTGTCTTCTCTGATTTCTTTGAGCAGTGTTTTGTAATTCTCATTGTAGAGATCTTTCACCTCCCTGATTAGCTGTATCTTAGGTATTTTATCCTTTTTTCTGGCAATTGTGAATGGAATTGCCTTTCTGATTTGGCTCCTGGCTTGGCTGTTGTTGGTGTATAGAAATGCTAGTGATTTTTGTACATTGATTTTGTATCCTGAAACTTTGCTGTAGTTGCTTATTAGTGAAAGGAGCTTTTGGGCTGAGACTATTGGGTTTTTCAGGATGTAGAATCATGTTTGTCTGCAAACAGAATAGTTTGATATCCACTTTTCCTGTTTGGATGCCCTTTATTTCTTTCTCTTGCTTGATTGTTCTGGCTAGGACTTCCAGTACTATCTTGAATAGGAGTGATGAGAGAGGGAATTCTTGTCTTGTACTGATTTTTAAGGAGAATGCTTTCAGCTTTTGCCCATTCAGTATAATGTTGGCTGTGGGTTTGTCATAGATGGCTCTCATTATTTTGAAGTATGTTCCTTCAATACCTAGTTTATTGGGAGTTTTTAATATGAAGTGGTGTTGAATTTTATTGAAAGCCTTTTCTGCATCTATTGAGATAACCATATGGTTTTTGTCTGTACTTTTGTTTATGTGATTAATCACATTTATTGATTTGTGTATGTTGAACCAACTTTGAATCCCAGGATGAAACCTACTTGATTGTGGTGGATTAGCTTTTTGATGTGCGCTGGATTCAGTTTGCAAGTATTTTGTTGAGGATTTTTGCATCAATATTCATCAAGGATATTGGCCTGCAGTTTTCTTTTTTGTTTTATGTCTCTGACAGGTTTTGGTATCAGGATTATGCTGGCCTCATAGAATGAGTTGAGGAGGAGTCCCACCTCCTTAATTTTTTGGAATAATTTCTATAGGAATGATACCAGCTCTTCTTTGTACATCTGGTAGAATTTGGCTGTGAATCCATCAGGTCCAGGGCTTTTTTTGGTTGGTAGGCTACTTATTACTGATTCAGTTTTGGAGCTTGTTATTAGTCTGTTCAGGGAATCAATTTCTTTCTGATTCAGTCTTGGGAGGATATATGTGTCCAAGAATTTATCCATCTCTTCTACATTTTCTAGTTTGTGTGCATAGAGGTATTCGTAGTAGTTTCTGATGGTTAGTTTTATTTCTTTGTGGTCAGTGGTAACATTCCCATCATCATTTCTGATTGTTTTATTTGGATCTTCTCTCTTTTCTCCTTTATTAGTCCAGCTAGCAGCCATCTATCTTAATGATTTTTTTCAAAAAAAAAAAAAATTCCTGAGCCGGGTGTGGTGGCTCATGCGTGTAATCCCAGGACTTTGGAAGCCTGAGACGGACGGATCATGAGATCAGGAGATCAAGACCATCCTGGCTAACACGGTGAAACCCCGCCTCTACTAAAAATACAAAAAATTAGCCGGGCATGGCAGCGGGCACCTGTAGTCCCAGCTACTTGGGAGGCTGAGGCAGGAGAATGGCATGAACCCGGGAGGCAGAGCTTGCAGTGAGCCAAAATCATGCCACTGCACTCCAGCCTGGGTGACAGAGGGAGACTCCATCTCAAAACAAACAAACAAACAAACACCCCAATTCCTGGATTTGTTGATCTTTTGAATGGTTTTTCATGTCTCAGTCTCCTTCAGTTCAGCTCTAATTTTGGTTATTTCTTGTCTTCTGCTAGCTTTGGGGTTGATTTGTTCTTGTGTCTTGAATTCTTTCAGTTGTCATGTTAAGTTGTTAATTTAAGATCTTCCCAACTTTTTGATCTGGGTATTTAGTGCTATGAATTTCCCTCTTAACACTGCCTTAGCTGTGTCTCAGAGATTCTGGTATGTTTTATCTTTGTTTTAATTATTTTCAAAGAATTTCTTGATTTCTGCCTTAATTTCATTATTTACCCAAAAGTCATTAAGGAGCATGTTGTTTAATTTCCATGTAATTGCATGGTTTTGAGTGATTCTCTTAGTCTTAGCATCTGTTTCTTTGTGCTCTGGTCCCAGAGAGTGTTTGGTATGATTTCCATTGTTTTGCATTTGCTGAGGATTGTTGTATGTTCAATTATATGGTCAATTTTAGAGTATGTGCCATGTGGTGATGAGAATGCATACTCTGTTTTTTTGGGTGGAGAGTTCTGTAGAGGTCCATCAGATCCATTTGGTCCAGTGTTGAGTTCATGTCCTGAATATCCTTGTTAATTTTCTGCGTCAGTGATCTGTCTAATACTGTCAGTAGGACTCCCTTTAATATTTCTGGTAGGGCAGGCTTTCTAGCATTTCTTTAGTTTGTGTTTATCTGGGAATGTCTTAAATTCTTCTTCAGTTTTTCAAAATAAGTTTGCTGGATATAAAATCTTTGGTTGATGATTTTTTCTCCCAAGGACTTTGAAAATGTCATCCCACTGCCTTCTTGCCTACATGGTTTCTGATGAGAAATCCACTGTTAATCTTGTTGAGGAGCCCTTGCACGTATTGAATTACATTTTTCTTGCTGCTTTCAAGAGGCTTTCTTTGTCTTTGTCTTTCAATAGTTTGATCATGATGTGTCTAAGTGTGGATCTCTGAGTTTGTCCTACTTGGAGGTCATTGAGCTCTTGAATGCGTAATGTTTTTCATAAAAGTTTTGGAAGTTTTGGCCATTGTTTCTTGATGTATTCTTCCTGTCTGTCTCTTGCTCTCTCTCTCTTCTCCTTCTGAGATTCCCATTATGCATATGATGATATGCTTATGGAATAAGACAGGTCTCTCAAGCTCCATTTATTTACTTTCATTCTTTTTTCGTTTTATTCCTCAGACTGGATAACCTCAGTTGTCCCATATTCAAGTTTGCTGATTCTTTCTGCTGCCTGCTCAAATCTGCTGTTAAATCTTTGGGCAGGAGGATTGGGTTGCTCAAATCTTACACATTTCAAAGAAATGTTTATCTTCAGGCCTGGCCATTGGCTGGCCCCTGGAAGGTAGCCTCTGAGCCCTTGGAATATTCTTCCTCATATGAGTTTCTGTATGCCCGAAGCCCTGAACCATGCTGTATTTATGGTATTTATTGTAAACACCTGTTTTTGTATGATTAAGCCCTTGGGCTACACTGTACCAGTTTGACTGGATAAGTTTATCCTAGAAAAGTGATTTATGATGAATGCCTGGTTTTGCTCTGTGGTGAAGACTGGATGGAGTCTGAGTAGCTGAGGTCATTCATATGGGCACTGCATGCCTATGTGACTGACCCCCAACAAAAACTCTTGATACCAAGGCTTCGGTGAGCTTTCCTAGCAACACTTCACATGTGTAGTCACACATTCCTCCTGGAACAATTAAGGACATCCCTATGTGACTCCACTGGGAAGGGTTACTTGGAAGTTTGAACTTGATTTCTCCTGGACTTAATCCATGTAACTCCTCCCTCTGTCAACTGTGATATATCCTTTTGCTGTAATAAACTGTAACCATGAATATGGCAGTGTCTGAGTTCTGTGAGTCTTTCTACTGAATCATTGAACCTGAGTATGGTATTGAAAATTCCCAATACAGCCCATGTAGTGAAGTTTTCATCTCAGTTATTTTCCTGTTTATTTCAGAATTTCTGTTTCTTATAATTTATATCTTTTTATTGATATTCTCTATTTGTTGGGATATTAGTCTCATACTTGCATTTAGTTCTTTAGACACAGTTTCTTTTAGTTCTCTAGATATATTTGAAATAACTGATTTAAAGTACTTGCCTAGTAGGTCCAACTTCTATGTTTCCTGGGCAGTTTCTATTCATTGATTTATTTCCTATGTATGGACCATGCTTTCTTGATTCTTTGCACCTTTATATGTGGTTTTGTGTGTTTTTGAAAACTGGATCTTTTAAATAATATGGTGGTCCTGGAAATCAGATTATCCTCCCCACTTCTGCTCCCCAAAGCGTTGTTTTGTGACTTTTGTAAACTAATCCTTTAAAGTCCATATTCTTTGTCATGTGTAGCCACTGAAGTCTCTGCTTAGTTATCTTAGTGGTCAGCTAATAATTAAACAGATATTTTCTTACATGCCTTTGCGAAGGAGTTCTGTGTGAATGTTGGGGAATGCTTTAAAAACTGAGACAGGCAGTTGATAGCTCTGTGTTAGCATTCACTGTCTGATTGCACAGAGACTCAGGATTATCCCAAGGTGAGAGCATAGGGCCTTCTTAGGTCTTTCCTGAGCAGTCACACAGCCCTACACATTCATGTGTAGATTCCAAAAAGATAATGAAACTTTTCAAAGCCTCTATGGAAATCTCATTCCCTAAGCTTTTCCTGGTAAGTTCTTTGGTTAATCAATTGTTTGTCCCAGTTGTTATCCACAATTTTAGGCAGCTGGAAAGTTTATAAATTGCCTGTGTTTTCAAAAATACCCCAGGGAAAATGTTTTTATACTGGGAGAGCTCTGAGTCAGGTCAAATAAAGACAACTTTGCAAGTGGGTCATCAAGGGAACTACCAGACAGGTAAAATGACAATTCTCTTCATTAGAGGCTTAGAAGGAACTCTACCTTTGTTCTGTCTCTTTTGGGAGCTACCAAACAGCTGGTTTTCACCATGATTGCAGAATGTTTTCAAAGCTACTGTGGTGCTAGAGAGGGAAAGATGAGAATAGGGCCAGGTAAAGTGCCATGAAGCTTGCCGTTCTTACCAAGATTCTACTGTTTTTCCTGAATAAACCCACCCTGGATTGCTAAAAGTGTAGCAAAGTTTGGTTAACTTCTAGAGTTTTACATTTTTTAATGCTGACAATTTTTACCAGTTTTCTTATTTGTTGAGAAGAGAGTTTTCTGTCTTTACCATCTTTACAAACCCAGAGTAATTTAAAAATGTAAATTGCATGTTATTTTTCTACTTCAAATGCTTTATTTCCAATGTTTTTAGAATAAAATCCAAACTCCACAATCAAAGTCTATAAGACTAATAGGACTCCGTTTACATCTCCAGAATCATCTTTAATCCCACTTCCGCCTCATCAATATGTTCCAACAACACAGAGATCCTTCATGTTCTTGAGAGTCAAGTGTTACCTAGCCCAACTGCCTGTAGTATATAAATAATTGGTTTCTGACCATTCTGTTGGTCCTCCACTTTTTTTCTGTTGGCCTTCTTTTCACCCCAAATTCAAGTATATTGGATAAGAGCCCCCCACCCATTTGCCAGTCTCAGTAAAATTAAATTATATCTCACAGGTCCTACTGAGTCAGAGGTCTAAACCCTGACCTGAGAGATGCAGTGTTCTGATTAGCCAGACCTGAGATCTGGTGCAAGGTGTGGAGTCACCTTAAATGGAAGTACCTGGCTGGAAATTAGAGCAGAAATGTTTGTGTAGAGAAAAAATGTAAAGTTGCTAGAAGAAGGGTAAGTTGATACTGGGCAGAAACCACAACCACCTGTTTTCATTACATTGCCTTTGGGTCTGTGCCCATGCTGTTTCCTCTGACCAGAATGCTAAGCATGAGTGGCACATGATTAGTCTTCAAATTATGTCTTAAATATTTTCTCTTTAGATAGACCTATTCTGATCATTTAATCCAGGTAGCTTCCTTTCCTCATTCTCTATTACAACACTTTTTTTTAACCTTCATAACTTTTATATTAGACATTAGGTTAATTCTGTCAGCAAATATTTACTTAGCACCAACTAGTACCAGATAGTGTACTAGACTTCGTTCATCTTCCATAATACACTATGTTTTATTCACCAGTGCATAGTTCAATGCCTAGAACACAAAAGGTCCTAAGTCAGTATTCACTCAATGAATGAATGAAAGGGCCCTGATACTCAATCCAATAACATTTTTAAATGTTAAAAAAAAAAAAAAAAGGAAAGGGGGTATGTTATTCTACTAGGCCAGTTTATCTCAATCTTTCTTCATTGTCCTAACATTTAATTTGCTTTAGGCACATGCATGGACTCCCAAATTAAGGTAATAAGAATCTTAATCACATAAAAATTAAACATAATATGAAAACTACATGATAAACTGCCTAAAATGTACTGCACCCTATTAATTGACTGCAAAGTGAGATCATCTGATCACAGAAATCCTTGGAGCAAATGAACAACCTTTAAAAATGTAAGATTTATTAAGAAAGTAATAAAATTTGTACAAAAATAATAAGTAATGTTGTATTTTAATTTTGTGAAATGTCAATAAAATACCATCTCAGACTTTCCCTGATCGTTAGATTCTGGCAAATATCCAACTTCATGTACCTTATCTTTTTTGCTATTGGAGAAATAATTGCAACACACTTTAGCTGCTGCATGAATGTTCAGATGACAAAATGAGCACCAGTTTTCTCATCAGATCCTGTGGTTTCAGTGAAAACCCATATCCAGATGACTTACCAATCATAGCACCAGTCCGAACCTCTACTCTGAGTTTCAAATTCATATATTCAATTGCCTACTAATTTTGGTTTTCTCAGAGGTACCTCAAGTTCACTTTGCATAAAACTAAGCTCATATTATTTCCTCAATCCTGATTCTCATCCACTATTGTCTATCACAATGGATATTGCCACCATTTGACCAAGAAGAACCCACACGTCAGAATTGGCTCCTCTCTGTTCCTCAACACTATTTCCAAAGTATCAATGTAACAACAACTGCTGCCTTTTTACCTCCTAAATAGCTCTTGAATCTCCCACCACTATCCGAGTCAAAGCTACCATTTCTCCAATTATATCTACAACAGATTTCAGACTGGTATAACCACACCCATTCTGCCCAACTGCTGTATCTGCTCTCTATATTATTGTTGGATTATTTGTATGTATAAAAAGGTCAAATATGACCACATCCTATTTTTCATTCTTAACATCCTTCAGACTTTATTTTTCTCCTTTAAGTTCATGCATGGTTTTGGCCTACCTTGGGTCTCACCTTCCCCTATACTTCACCATCTCATGCTTAGTCTTCGTTACTGCGGCTACACTGGACTTTCTAATGGAACTCTAGACTCACTAGGCTCTCTTCTTCCAAAAGGGCTTAAATAATGCTCTTCTATCTGCCTCAAATATTTTTTCTTATTCTTCATCATCTTAGCATTTTCTTTCTTTGACATTTCCCTAAATTTTTATTGAAGATTTTCTAATTACTCAAGTAAGATATGAATACTTTCTTCCTTACAAAAAATTATAACATTGCAAATAAAGTCAGGATATAACTTTCCTAATCTTAGCACCATCACAAGTTCAGTTAGATTTGTTTTTCCAAAATCACCTTTGTTCCAACAGATGGCCTTAGAACTCTTGAGTCACTTGTCACCTGAGACTACTCATCTTAGGCTGCAAAGCCACCAATTATTTCACAATGCACATAGTGTTTACTCCTGCCCTACCCTTTTGCTCATACTTGGAATACTTCTTCGCATACCAGCACTGAAACATATCATTCTCTTAGTTTCTTTTCAAATAAACTATATTTTCTGTTGCAGTTTGAATTAACAGGGAGTAGTCAGCCAAGGTGTTGCAAAGGATACCAATTGCATCATTGTCAAGAGCCCTCTCCAGGGAACACTTACTCCTTCAATTAACCATAGTCCATGGGCTGGCTTTTGGTATTACAGGATCAGGAGCCTGATTTTGCCAGAATCCCATAAGGAAAGCTACCATTTAGGGGTAGACTCACATTAGACACATAGACTCAAAGGCCAATTTTTAAATATATAGTGAAAAATATCACTCTCCTAGTGCCATGACCAGTGCTGTGTCTCCACAAAAGATAAACATGAGAATCCAAACTTAAATTAGAAATTGCTTGGTGCATATGAAATCAAGCTTAAAGGCTCTTAGAACATATCGTCAAGTCTCTTCCCAGGAAAGTGGTACCAACTAAAAATCTCACTGGCTGTATATCAATGCCAGTTTTAATACACTGTCCAACACTAGTTGTCAGGCAAACTTCCATTCTCATTCTTTCAATTGACATCAAATGACATTTTTTTCATTTCATTTCCAACTTTTGTTTTAAGCTCAGGGTTACATGTGCAGGATGTGCAGGTTTCTTCATAGGTAAACGTGTGCCATATGGTTTGCTGCACAGATCATCCCATCACCCAGGTATTAAGCCCAGCACCTACTAGATATTCTTCCTGATCCGCTCTGTCCTCCCATCTCCTGCCCTCCAACAGGTCCCTGTGTGTGTTGTTACCCCCCATGTGTCCGTGTGTTCTCATTATTTAGCTCTCACTTATGAGAACATGTGGCATTTTGTTTTCTGTTTCTACATTAGTTTGCTAAGGATAATGGCCTCCAGCCCCATCCATGTCCCTGCAAAGGATATGATCTCATTCCTTTTTATGGCTGCATAGTAGTCCATGGTGTATATGTACCACATTTTCTTTATGCAGTCTGTCATTGATGGGCATTTAGGTTGATTCTACCTCTCTGCTGTTGTGAATAGTGCTGCAGTGAACATACATGTGCATGTATCTTTATAATAGAATAATTTATACTCCTTTGCGTATATACCCAGCAATGGGATTGCTGGGTTGAATGGTATTTCTGTCTCCAGGTCTTTGAGGAACCACCACAGTGTCTTCCACAATGGTTGAACTAATTTACACTCCCACCAACAGTGTAAAAGCATTCCTATTTCTCCACAACCTTGCCAGCATCTGTTATTTTTTGACTTTTTTTTTAATAATAGCCATTCTGACTGGTGTGAGATGGTATCTCATTATGGTTTTGATTTGCATTTCTCTAATGATCAGCGATGTTGAGCTTTTCTCACTCTGTCGCCCAGACTGAAGTGCAGTGGCACGATCTCAGCTCACTGCAACTTCCATCTCCAGAGTTTAAGTGATTCTCTTGCCTCAGCCTTCCAAGTAGCTTGGATTACAGGTGCCCGCCACCATGGCCGGCTAATTTTTGTATTTTTAGTAGAGATGGGGTTTTACCATGTCGGCCAGGCTGGTCTTGAACTCCTTACTACCCCTCAAGTGATCTGCCCGCCTCGGCCTCCCAAAGTGCTGCAATTACAGGCGTGAGCCACTGCACCTGGCCAGCTTTTTTTCATATGTTTTTTGGCAACATGTATGTCATCTTTCGACAATTGTCTATTCATGTCCTTTGCCCACTTTTTAATGTTTTTTCCCTAGTAAATTTAAGTTCCTTATAGATGCTGGATATTAGACCTTTGTCAGATGTATAGATTGCAAAAATTTTCTCCCATTCTGTAGGTTGTCTGTTTACTCTGTTGATAGTTTCTTTTCATCTTAGCATTTACTACTCATTCTTTTGGTATCAACCAAACTTTAGGGAAGCTTCTCTGACCTTGCTGACTAGGTGAAGTCCTGCTGTGATAAACTTTTATAGCATCAATTACTTTCCCTTATAGCATTTATCACTATTACAGGTTGACATTTATTTGTATGACGACTTAATATCTGTCTTTTCCAGTAGAATGTAAACTCCTTGAGAACAAGCCTATGTCTAATTTGGCTCACCATTGCATCCTTAGAACACTCTCTGACTTATAGTAACATATTAGGCATTCAGTAAGGAAGCAAATGGTAGAGGTGTTTCATAGGAAATTCTGAAATGCAAATTTTTGAGGCTGCCCTATTTTTGGATGGCTTGCTTAAAGGCTTTTATTCATCCTTAATTGGTATGGTCAAGATATGAGAACAGCTCAGATCTTGGACCATTGATCCCAAGTGTCACTCACCTCACTTATTTGCTATGTATGTACTTGGAGGCACTGACCTTGATGTTATTTTCTATTTAATTTTCTTCTAAGTATTCTCTTAGCCTCAAATTTAGCCTTAATAGCTTTACTTAGTGCTCTTTTCTGTCATCAGTGTAGACTTACAGATGTGAATTTTTAATGCATACTTTGACCTAAATAAATGTTTAGGGGCTTTCAATTTCATTACTGCCATTGGCACTTCTGTCTAAAGATCAACAATTCCTTGTTGCTCACTGCCCAGTACCATTACTGATGTAGCCTCCAAGTAAGTACTGAAGGGGGATAGAAATAAACACACAAGCTTGGTGGGAGAAGGCCTTACTAAGGTCAATGTTTAAAAGAATCATGGTCCCTTAGTCAATTCTAAAGAACCAATTTATAGACATGGAACCTGTGGAACCTGGAACCTGGGAAATCTTGTAACCTTAGGTACACACCATGTGGAAATTGAACCTAGACCTTCCTCAAAGAGAGGCTGTCATGTGTATGGGTAAATATACCCTGGAGGATGGAAAAGCCACAAACTTTTAGGGGATATTTGGAATCTAAATCTGAGTTTACTGGAATTGCTGAAAATGTACAGAACCACTACAGTCAGTATTTTAGATCAAGGGATTATGCTGGCTAACTGAAAAGGTGTTTTAAGTTTACCATCAGGACCCAAAACTTACCATATAGTCATTTGCCCACTAGGAGAGTACAGTTGGGATAGCAGTCCTCAGCATGTGGCAGAATCCTCACTTTGTTAAAACAAAACAAAACAAAACAAAAAAACCCTTAATAGTCCTTAAGGACTATTAGGGTAGCATCAACCAAGGGGAAATTATCTGGACTCTTTTCCCCATCAAAATGTTAAGTCAGAAACAAGATCACTTTTTCACGGGGAACTGCAGCGATTAAAGCTATTATTAAAGATTTGTAAGATGCTGGCCAATGATTTCTCTCCCCATTCAATACCTCAATATGGTCAGTGCAAAAACCAATGCTAATTCCAACTGCACTTTGCAATCTCCAAATGGCTTCTTTACTAGAATAGATGAATAAAGTTCCTGATTTCTCATCTGTTGTCCATGATATGTCGATTGTGCATTACTTTATTCCTGCTCACTTGGACTATTAGGAGCAGTTTGATTTCACCTGGTAAGAGCAACAGTTTGTTTACTCTGTGTCTGTGCCAAAATCTGGTCCTCTGGAGCCTTGACAACATTGCATTCCTCCTAGGCCATGACACTGATGCAATACATTTACAATCTCAAGCTGATTACTCCTGGAGAACAGCAAGTGGCAATGCCCTAGTTAACTTAGGAAGAAATTAGAGATACATCTTTAAGAAATAAGAGAACCTACATCCTCTGTCCTAGAAAGAAGAGGGAGGTTCTAATGTCAATGATATGACAGAGTATTCTCCCTAAGTGGAAAACAAGTTACGGTACCTAACATTAACAGGGAATCTTTCTGGATTTTGGAATTTTTGTGACCTCTGGGCACCTAATAGGTGACACAAAAATTTGCCCAAAGTAGATTAAGAGAAGGTTTTCCAGCTAGTCCAGTCTGCAAGGAAAGCTGTCCTGCCAGGTGACATGATAGCCACACTGATCCAGTAGTATCCAAGATGCATGAGAGCCTTGAACATAAAAGAGTTACTGCAAGGTACTCTGGGGTTTTGGAGCTAACTGATGTCACATTAGCAGTAACTATTCTCTTTTTGTGTAACAGCTCCTGTCTTGCTTCTAGATCCAAATGTCCTCCCATTCCAGTAGGTGTAGCTGTAGAAAAAAAAACCCACCAAATATCTGATTATGAAGTCAAGTAAGTACGCAGCGTGGGCTGCCCTGCATGAATTGGGTGTCATCAGTTTCACAATCCATAAAACTAGGTTTATTCGAAAACACTCCCAAGTGGTATATAAAACAACAGGATTTACAGGCCACAAGAGTTAAAGTATTATTTAAATGGGTTGCTCAACTGGAACACGGAGGCACAGGCATTTTATATATTCATAGGAAGCACTAAAGTCTTGTGGAATGAGAATGAACACATAAACCTGTTTCTAGCGATTAAAAGATTTCTACTAAATAGGAAGCAAATAGTTTACTGAAGTAAATTTCACCAGTCATTAGGCTTCATTAATAATATTTATTTTAAAGATCAACTTTTATTGTAACAAATATAAAGTCATCAATGTTTTACAAATTGTCAAAAATGCTTTAAGTACAAAAAAATACATTAGTAAAATGAAAGTTATGTTGTATTATTTGGTATACACTTAATACTGCCAACATGCATAACATATGCCAGAAAAGCTCATGCATTATTGGAAGAGAAAAGAAATGTGATGTAACTGCTATATTGTCTGATTATAAATTCATTGCTTCAGTCAGTTTTCTTTCTTCAGGGATACCATTTACCTGCAATGTGTAAGAATGAATATGGGCAGGAGTTAGTCAGGGCATGGATACTTTTAGATTTTGAGCAAAGCAAATTATGGCAAGGAGAAAGTTTCCATCTTCTTAATACAATGTAAAATAATTACATTGCATTATTTCTCTGTATTTGGTTTTTTTAAAAAACAGAAAACAAAAGAAAAAATTCTAAATTAGTCTTCTCCTTCTTGGACCAAAGCTATAATATTTTGTATTTCCCAAGAGGTACAGTCTGAAAATTCCTCCCACAATAAACAAAAAGAATGGAGGTTAACTGCAGGATGTATAACTGTACCTTTTAATCGTGGCTTTTAAAAAAATATCATGTGGGCTGGTAGGGCAGAGAAAATGAGAAAACCTGAAGGGGCATCAAACCTAATGGTTTGGGCCTAGTCCAAAAGTTAGTGCAATTGTCAGCTTTTAACTGCTCTATTATCCCAGCTAGTGCTCAAGTCCAGGAACACAACACCAGCAGCTAGTTCATTTCTTAAAGCTTTGATAGGAATTTAAAAGAAAACAAGGAACTAAATGAAAAAAAAAAAAAAAAAAAAAAAAAACAACAACTTCAAGATATACTTTCCCCTGATAAATTCCATATAGGTAGCTACAAATAAAATTACTTGGTATCCAAGACGCAAACTCTTGTGCCTAAATTACCTTCATAAAGAAAACTGACATGTGCATAATGTTCTGTGGTACTTGGAAAACTCCAGTTACTGTTTGATGATAATCATGCATAAATGTAGCTGCCTCTATGCAGTATTAGGATAATCAGGGTAAAAGAAAAGAAAAGCTGCCGTACTCACAAAAATATATAAACAGCACTAAATCCATGCATTTTCAGATAGAAGAATTTAGAAATTGAGAAATAAACTTTTTCATTTAAATGAACAGAATGGAAATAAGGAATGTAAACTGCCCATCAGCCCTTCTCTCCAGGAGGCATGCCTCCATTTAGGTTTTCTTTTTTCTTTTTTTTCTTTTTTTGATTCAGAGTCTCACTCTGTTGCCCAGGCTGGAGTACAATGGCGTGATCTTGGCTCACTGCAACCTCCACCTCCCAGGTTCAAGTGATTTTTCTGCCTCAGCCTCCCAAGTAGCTGGGATTACAGGTGTATGCCACCATGCCCAGCTAATTTTTGTATTTTTTTAGTAGAGACAGGGCTTCGCCATGTCGGGCAGGCTGGTCTTGAACTCCTGACCTCAGGTGATCCGCCTGCCTTGGCCTCCCAAAGTGCTGGGATTACAGGTGTGAGCCACCGCACCCAGCCTCCATTTAGTTTTAAATGTACCAGAGGCACAAACACACCAATCTTGCATAATTATAAAAAAAAATGCTAGGGTGGTCTCTCTCCCTTTGGCACTTAAGATATTTTGGGGACTCACTAAATAAAACAATAACAACAAAACAACCAAGAGGAGATACTGTACTTTAGTCTATAATATGATCCAAATTGCAGAAAAATGTAAGAAAACAAGAAGGTAATAGGCTCTAGTGTTAACTAAAAAGGAGAGCAAAGCTTTCTTGACTCAAGCAAAATACCTGCTCCCTAAAATCTGTTTCAGAAAAATAATTTTATAAATTAGGTTAAACAACCTTAAAATCCCCTAGGAAAACTCTTTGGCTCTTATATTTGTTTAGGCATAAATTGTCCTTGTATTTGGAAGTGCTCTGTATTACTAAAATGTAGCAAGTTAACAAGAGTACTTGCTAAAAAATCTATGTGACTACTAAACAAATTGCCCTAATATCATCTACTCAAGTTTCCTAATTCCCCTAGTGGGTAAGTAAGTAAAATCTGGATTTTTAAATACTCAAAATAAATATTTACTGTTTTTCTAGAAATTGCCTGCTTCCTACTCACTCCATGCCTGAAATAATTAAGAATCAGAAGATAGAAATCTTAGGCGAGATGGAAGCTACAAGGTTAATAACGAAGAAGTTCTATCATTTCTATCGTAGAAGTATTCTTTTAGAAATTTTCCTTTTAAAAAATAGCTGTGAAATTAGTGGTAGTAGGGATTCATTTATCTTTTTTCTCTCTTTAGGTGACTCATTTTTATAACAAAGTTTGTTCCTTCATCAATCTCCTGAATGCTTACAAAGTAGCACCAACACATCAATATATTGAACAGTCTTGTTGAAACATGTTAGCATTTAATTAAAGCAAGTAATCAAAATTGTAGGGAAAAATTCTGATAAACATCTTGTAATTGAAATCTGATGAACAATTTCATTATACTTGCCTCAAATCTTTGAAAAGTTGTCAAACGAAAATCTCCTTAAATTCACGAAAGCAGTAATAGAGAAGATAATTTCTGAATGAAAACATCCAACACATTTCTGAATGTGCCTGAAGTTTTTAAGAGACTTACTTAATAGTTTCCCTACCACAATGCCGCTATTCATACTCAGAATTCCACACCCAACTTACATTTTTAAAACTTCTCTTGCTTTTCCAAAAGAGCTACAAAGGCATTAATGGTTCCCTGGCAATTAGAACTAGGAATCAACCACTAATTAGAAGACAATCATGAATAAGTTATCTACTCAGTATAGAGATGAATGAAATAATTGGCTGTGGAAAATTTTTAGGGACACTTGAAAGAAATAAAGAAAGCAAGTCTTAGGGAAATAGAATAATCCAAGGAGAATTGTCCGCCATCTTGTTGTCATTGGTCATGTTATAACAGCTTTTTAAAGCGGCTTTAAAACCAGGCCAGCCATTTCTCATTTATCCCCCTGAAGCCTCAGTGATTAGTCACAATGGTTTCCTTTTGTAAGAGAGCTTGAAACTTCAAGCTGCTCACTTACTGAGACAAATCCTGGATGCATCCAAGCTAAGAATCTTTCATACCAAGGGGAAGAATAGGGAACTTCACTGAAGGAAAGGGGTTTCATTCAGTCTTCCTTAATTAGACAGGACCTCCATGGATGCTTTTGCTCTAAGATCATTTACCCTGTGTTTATCATTCTGATGCCAATCTATGTAATAATCTAAGCTATTATTCTGAGGTTTTAAGTCTGATTAAGGAATGACACAAGTGTTTTGCCTTATTTGGTGAAGATAAAGCTTCATAAATTATATAGTGCCATAATTATCTTTTAATCTATTAGATTCATTCATAAACATTAATTTATTATTCTTAGCACTCACCTGTAGTCTGCTGTTGGGGAATCTGAGTCTGATGTGGCAAGTTCCTAGAAATGATGAACATTTTTGAGTAAAACTGTTTGTTTACACACTTGTAAACAGAGAGCAGACATACTAGAATGAAAAACTTTACGGGTAAACTATGACCCCAGTCATGTAATCCAGCACAATTCCCCTCCCCTTTCATGAGCTTACAGATGAGGAAACTGAGGTCTGAGGAGAATAAAAATTAACAATATTTGATAACATGCATGAAATTTTCACTGCGGGCTATACTCTAAAGTACCTCACAACAACCCTAAGAGGTAGGTGTTAATATTTTTCCCATTTTATGGGTGAAGAAATAGCCTTGGAGATCCAGGGCCACATAGCTAGGACATGGTAGGTAAAGATGTGAACACAGTGGCTTGTGCTCTTAACCTATACACTTTCAGATCCAGATCACACATTTTCATGGAACAACATATATAACCACCTTCATTCACTATCCCAAACATCTGTGCTCTTTTATCTTCGTGTCAGGAATGACACTGGCCATGCATCCAGATGCATTGGCGGAATGCAGAAGTCATCCTTGTTCCTTCCCTCTCCTTCAGTCCCCACATTCAATCACTTAGGGACTTTTGACATTTCTTTTTGTCTCATTTGGATCTGCCCCATTCCTCCCCATCTCCATTGCTAACTTGGTTGAAGCCATCATCATTTCTCACTTGGATCCTTGTAAGGGGATTGACTTGTTTCCTCATTTACATTCTTGTCCCCTTATAATCCACTCTGCACATTGCTGTCAGAATAATCTTCTAAGACAGGGGTCCCCAACCCCTGGGACACGGAACTGGGCTGCCCAGCAGGAGGTGAGTGGCAGGTAAGCCATCGAAGCCTCATCTGTATTTACAGGTGCTCCCCATCACTTGCATTACCACCTGGGTTCTGCCTCCTGTCAGACCAGCGGCAGCAGTAGACGGTCATAGGAGCATGAACCCTACTGTGAACTGCGTATGCGAGGGATCTAGGTTGTGCACTCCTTATGAGAATCTAATGCCTGATGATCTGTCACTGTCCCCCATCACCCCCTGATGGTACTGTCTAGTTGCAGGAAAACAAGCTGAGGGCTCCCACTGATTCTACATTATGGTGAGTTATATAATATTTCATTATATATTACAATGTAATAATAGAAATAAAGTGCATAATAAATGCAATGCACTTGGACCACCCCAAACCATCCCCCACTCCTGGTCTGACATGAAACCAGTTCCTGGTGCCAAAAAGCTTGGGGACCACTGTTCTAAGACACAAATCTGATTATGTCATTTAAATAACACACATTTCAATATTTCCTTGTATCTATCTGCAGATTAAATTTCAGATTTCTTAATGTGGCCTGGAAAGCCACAATATATCTCACTCCTACATGGAGTGCCCCATGTCTGCTTGAAGCCAACAACCAACTACCATGTCCTGTACACAATCAGCTCCCATTTGTTCTTGCTAACTCAACTCAGAACTTGTTACAGCATACAGGTATTACTCTTATAGTTTAAAAATTCCCATGAGAAATGTTATTAAAATTTTTAACATATTATTTTTAATTAAAAAAATCTCAAGAACCACCTTCCTATGCATCCTCACTCTCTAAGCAACCCACAAATTAGGTTACCATTTAGCATGCTTTCATTCACATGCTGATTGTCATTGTATTCTCTGTATATAATATTTAATTGCCCCAAAGTATATTAAGAATAAGAACCATCATATTTTGTTTAGTATCCTCAGCAGTAAGCATTATAAAGTATATACATTTATTAACTTACAGATTTAGTTTCACATATTGATACTAAAATTAGTTTATGAAAATGTACAATTTAGGTTCTGTATGGAAGAAACTCCAGGAGTCAGTCCTTTGTAATAAAGTTTGATCCAAGCTGGGGATTTTCAGTTTTTTGTTTTCTCTTTAGCACTGGGATTCCTCTTAATTGAAACCCTAAGCAGAACTGTGATGTACAAAAGAGATAAATGTGAGGTTGCCTGGGTTGAAACAAGGGAGTTAGGAATCCTGTCAGCTTTGTTTTCTTTGTCCCTCATGCTGGCCCCTACAGCAATTCTAAGAAATCTGTAAAAAACAGTTTGAAAACCATTGATATGAATTATTTCAGCCAGGCAAATATTATGTTCCAAATACAACAATCTAAAGTGGAAAACAGTGCGTGCTAGTTAAATGCTGTTTAAACTCTTAATCTATAGGTAACACCTTTGAGAGTTTTTTTTAATGTTTCAGTTCCACTTTAAAGATATTACTAGGGAAATAATAAACTCAACTCTAACACAATTTGAGGAAGTTACTTAATAATTCATCCCGACGATTATATTCGTTTTTATTGTTACTTATCAGCCTTATCCTTGTGTAGGCTAGAGGAGTATTTCTTTTTTAGCTTGTTTGTTCTTTCAGAATTTCACACAATGTATTTATATTGGTTTTGGTCACAAAAGTAAAAAGATCAATTTATAAACTACAAAGAGGGAATAAGTTCTACATTTAAAGATGGCAAGGCAAATATCTTTACTACAGAAGTCAAAATGCAATTAGATGGGCATCTCACACAGGGTGGGAGGATGTGTTTTATTTTACCTACTCAGGTATAACTGATCTGGGTCTATTCTACACTCAAAACGAACACAGTGCACCTTCTACACATAGGCGCACACCACACACAAGCACTTCCTCATTCCTTACCATCTCTAGCTCTACCTAGCCTGTCAGCAGATTGAATCAACACATTCTGACAAAATACAAAAATCAAACAGGATAAAGAAAATATAGAATGTAGGTGTTCTAACATAGGTAGTGGTTAGTAAACAAAGACACATGTTTTCCAAAAGCACTAGATTAAGGATCCTCCAAATTCAAAATCAGCATTTGGATGAGGTAGTTGGATGCCCCCCACTTCTCTTGTTGGCCCTCCCAACTGACCTTTCTGTGGAATTTAGCTTGGAAACCACTGATCAAAGTCAACCTATGCCCTGTCGTTTCTTTTCTAGCCTCCGTTTTTTCCTCTTTTGCTACATTGCTAAACTTTCTAAATCACAATGGGCTGGGCTAGGTGAAAAGACATGGCTGGTTGAGAAAAATGCCACACACAAACTAGCAAGAAATTCGGAGAAGATGCATAAGAAAGCAACTGTGTGTCTTATATTGATTTAGAGACTGAAAAGTATCCATAGTGGGTGTTCTAAGTGGTTGTGTTTGAACAATGCTCATGCACTCCTTGCAGTTTCAAAGGAAACTTAGATGAGTTATATTAAAAATGCTTGTGTGCGCAAAAAGGTGCTCAACCAAAAAAATACTGAGATTCAACATCCCCTGATTGGGTACAACCTATCTCCTGTTTTGAAGGAGACCCTTGAGTCTCCAAGATGTGTGCACATAGCTCTGTTTTTGTGGCTTCCCAAACTTGTAACTAAATGTGAACCTGTAAGTATTAAAGTGTGAATGTATCTATGATGGGCATATTTAAAACTGTGTATTTCATTTAAGAGTTGAAGGGACATACTTTATAACAGCACTGCTTCAGGCATACTGGAAAAAATGCCTTCAATCCCAACTCTGCTAGTTAAGATGCAGAGAATGCAGGAAGAAAGTGGCAAATTCTCATCTTTGGTGAGAGCAGGCTGCTAAAGGCAATTATACAGGAGCGGGGGGTCGACTTCAAATAGAGGCCCTATAATCCTTCCAAGGAGGGACCTTAATGAAGTCATAAAACAATTTAATGATTATTAGACTAAGTGAAAAGTTATTATGTGTAAACTGCATTATGTAGAAATTTAAGAAAACTGTAACTAAATTATTAGCATTAATTATTTTCTCATTTTATGTTCATTAATTTCATGCATTTAAATAGAAAATTGTGTAAATTAGTCATTGCACAAACTTCATTCTTTAAGAATGCAAGAGTAATAACTTGCAAATTAATAAATAAGTGAGTTGGGGGGAGTACACAATTATTTCTTATGTGTACAACCATTTTAAAGTAATTTGACATTCTTGGATACCCTATACCGTAATTCTGTGAGTAAGGTTGATGATTATCAACTGATTATATTGCTACTTGTTTCAAACTAAAAAGCAAAATGATGATTTGCATAAAGCCACAGAATCCATGCCAGAGTTCAAAGAAAATGACACTAGTTGTGTGAAATACAAAACATTTCACTTTTCAGTTAGTATGGTGACATCATTTAACAATAAGAAATAGTTATATATTTTTGGAAAACAATGGCTCTGAAATATTCTTGGCTGCCTGATACTTCTCAACAGGACACCATAATCTTAGTCCCCTGAAACACTGTCTTCAACTGATATTAACTTTTATTAAAACTTAATTTTTATTTATGGAATTTTACCATAAAGTTAGTTGTCATTGTGACCAAAAGCAGGACAAATGGAAAAATATTTAAATAAAAGCTAAAATGATTAGATACTGTCTTCAATTAGAAGACTTAATTCTACTTTTATACTTGTTAATTTTCAAAAGATTAAGTACAACCTATCTCCTGTTTTGAGAGAGACCCAATTATCCTGGATTAGGAATTATGTTTAGAATAATGAATAAGGAAAATTTTTGTGTAGCAAATTAATATCTTCCTGAAAAATGTGTGGAGTACTATTCCCCAATTATTCATTACCTAAGGGGCCTCATGAAGATGCCTACCACTCCAAAAAAATCAATTGGTATTGATGTTGGCATAAGAAAAGAGTAGTGAAGAGGCAGATCTTTCCCCAAAAGACAGCATACCTCACTACAAATTTAATATAATAATAAATTATTTTTTAGAAAATCAAATATTTGGGATCCTCCAGTCAATGTCCCTTTCCCCAAGCATAAGACTACAAAATAACATTTTTTCAATGGCTTTTAGCTGTTCCAGGCACTGTTTTCTGATTAGCTCTCATCTCTCAACCTCTCCACACCATTTTCCTCAGGCAGTTTAAGGAGGTATGGAAGAGTCTAGAGGCTGAGAAGTATAAACTCCCAAACAGCTCCAACCTCCTAGACAATGTGCATGGACTGCTATTCTTTCAGTTTCACATGGGGGAATTTAGGAAAAACTGTTCCCCTTTTAAAACTCCATGTAGAGGAATGTGAATAACAACCCTTCTTACTCAGAGCTCTGGATTTTCCAATCCTGAAACTTAAGTCTTTTGATTATTAAGCCAGGAATTCTCAATCTTTGTTGAGAAGCTCTCTGCAGGAGCTCTACCATAACATACACTTCCACCAGACTCCAAATTCCCATACTCAGAGCCCCAGAATGTGTACTGTAAAAGCTCTATGGTGATTCTGACACAACGTGGTTTGGGAACAAGGCTAGACTCTCTCTTGACGTTCCTTTGATGACCTAAAATGTTATTACTTGGAATTAAATTTTTTTCATTTAAATAATTAGAAAGGGCAATCATTGAGGTACACCGGTCAAATACGTAATAGATTTTTGATGTGAAGTCTTTGGTCACAAACATAACACCAGTCACAACAATGATTCTTTGGGCAAAGTCAATTTACTTTTAAGAATTACTTTACAATGTGATTTCCAGGAATGAATTTTAATAACTAAGACAAATGTCTATAGGGGAAAAAATTATTACTGCTATTAATGGCAACACTTATTCACTAGGCTACAAAGATAACTAAGTACAGATGCAGAAAAACTTACTATATGAGGGCATGAGGGACATACTACACAATACCTGGCTATAGCTCCTCATGACTGTCGAGGTCATGGGACACAAGAAAGGTCTAAGAAAATGCCCAGACCTGAGGAGACTAAGGAGACATAGTGATTATTGTGTCCTAGATGGAATCCTAGAACAGAAAAAGGACATTAGTGGAAAAACGAATGACATCTGAAAAAAGTCTGAAGTCTAGGTAACAGTAAAGTACCGAAACTGGGTTCCTCATTGTGACAAATGTACCATGGTACTGTAAGATGTTAACAACGGGAGAAACTGGCTGAGGCGTATCTGGGAACTCTCTATTATCTTTGTAACTTTCCTGTACCTCTACAATCATTCCAAAATAAAAAGTTTATTAAAGAATAAACACATTAGCCAAGATCAAATTAAGTTGGCCTTACATTTCTAGACTATGTGATAGTTTTAACAGCCTATTTATATTGTCTCTGTAATTTGAAAAGCAAAAGAAACACAGTACAAAATGAAACACCTCATTTCTAGGCATGTGCTACATCTCCAGGTTCTGCTCCAGCTTCCCTGTCCACTGCCTCTTTATTCATTTTGCTTATAACCTGAATCAGAGATCCTTCTGAGGTCAATGACCGACACTATCTATCCCTGCCTAGATATCAGGATAGGTAAATAATCTAATCTCAGTTCTGACCTAATTTAACTTTGTCTCTTATCAGTGTCTCAAATTTATCATCTGCAAATGATTAAACATTTTTTCTTACTGACTAATTTATGGTGCCAGTCTGGAGCTCTGTGAAACATTCTACCAAAAAGAAAATATTACTATGTAATTGATAATGGTGGCAGCCATTCATTACATAACATTGTGAGTTCTCTATAACTTTGATGTAAATTGACTTGTTTAAAGGAACAAACTAGTTTTATGCAGTTTTGAAAGAAAGCTTTGAATATTCTTGAGTCTTGCTTAGAAGCCAATATAAACCTTTAGCCATATCCATGTCTGAATATTTCCGGTATCAATCTGAAGAATAAACATGAAATCCTTTGGCTAGCTAAAAATTGTTTATGAATGATAAATTCAGTACACTTAGTATGAATGTGAAGATGAAATGCATGCCCTTATAGGAAGGGTAAATTAATAAGTACAAGACAGCATTATCCAAGCATATACCTGGTTATTGAGTACTGTAATGCCTCCCAAAATATAATATCACATTTTAATCTTGAGAATTCAATTCAATCCAAATGACCAAAATATTTGTGTGTGTCTACTCAGTGCTGAAGTAAAACTTTTAAAACATAGCTGTTTTTCTGGTAAAAAGTAAAAGTTGAATTTGCATAAAGGACAGCTATGATGAACCCCATACAATAAATTCCCTATTATCTGGCATGGCTGGAAAATGAGGTTAATCACATATTCTGGCTTATAGGGAGTTACCATAGAGACTGTGCACATATTATCCATTTCTAAGAATAAAAGAAAGATAATATACACTCAACACTGAAACGACACCGAATGTAATTTAATTTTCCTCTGATGAGTCAGACGCACTTGATGATCCTGCAGTGCCTCAGAATAATCATTGTGAACATCATCAATTATCTGTGTACCCTATTTATATAGAAGTGCTAGTTAATGGAGCTTTTCCATTAGCAGAAATCTGAATAATGTGAAGGTTTTCTGGACTTAAAAATACGTATGTGTTTAAATTGTTGCAAGTTCAATATAATAGCCTATTGCATTTGCAAATAGAGAGATCTGATCAACCTAATGACAGTCTTGATGGGGTTATGGAAGGACCAGAAAGATCCATTTGGTGTAAACTAGATAGAAAATTTTATTTTGCTTGTATATTAGTAGCAACATTGCAAAATTCTAACCACAGGGAATCAAAATACTTTTTAAGGAGCTATTCTTATTTTCAATATATGTGGTTAGAAAGGGTTATCTTAAAATGACAGCAACCTTTTTCCGCTCTTAAATTTCACTAGCAATAGAGTTTTATTGATTTACAAACATATTCAAGTTCCCCTACTCATTATAACTAGTTTTCTACTCTAAAATTCTACAGCACTGTTTGTTACATTATCAACAGAAGCATTTCTCAAACTGTGTTCTTTGAAGAGTTACCTATTCTGACCTTTTCCTATGGATTCACAAAGTGTATCAACACACTAAGGGACTGAAGACTGTTGTAGCTTAAAAAACAGAGAAATAAAACCTTTACGTTACAGTACTCGATAACCAGGTATATGCTTGGATAATGCTGCCTTGTACTTATTAATTAACCCTTCTTAAAAGGGCATGCATTTCATCTTCACATTCATACTAAGTATACTGAATTCATCATTCATAAACAATTTGGTTAGCTACAGGATTTGTTTCATGTTAGAATTCTGCAGTGTTGCTACTACTTTTTTCCAAGTGTATTTGATCATTCCATTTTTTTGAAGGATATCTGTCAACATTTCACTGGCACGCTAGGGTAAACAATATCAGAAATAATAACCTTAAAGAATAAGTACAAATTCTTTTCATTTTGAAAATGAATGATAAAGCCATTTCATAATTTTCATCTAAAAAGGGATAAGAGGTTGTTAAATTCTGAATTATTACAATATTCTTGAAATTTTACCAATTTTTCTCATCAGTATCTAATCCCGGTAAACTGGGTTTTATGATGACCCATAATAGGTGGGCTACTGACCACCAGAGAGCATAGAAACCCATCCGTTGCATTCAGTACAACTAAATTTTGTAGACTTTAATATTTATATCCCTGATATATTAATGTTTCAAAAATTCAAAATTGTAAACATATGCAATTTCACCCATTTCTTAAATTACCCACTACCCATTACTTACACTCTCATACACACATGCACATAAACAGGCACCTTAGTCTGTATGACCCTAAGTGATGTTAGAGAACTTTAGAAAAATATTCATAATACTTTTGGGTTTCTGAAGTATTCTGGATAAACTTATCTAGTCTATCTATACTACTTATATTAATTATTATTTAATCTTCAAATTACCACATGCATTCTACCTGGTTACAGAATAAGCACTCAATGGGAAAAATGTACCCAGCAGAGTTCCCAGGTAAATGTGTTCACTTTAATATTATATCCTAAGGGGTGTGTATGTGTCTGTGTGTATGAGAGAGAGAGAAAGAGAGACTGAGAGAGTGAGAAAGAGAGATTTTTCTGCATAGCCATTCCATCTATAAAAGTAAAGTGAAAAAGAGGAGGACCTCAAAAGCCAACTTCATGACTTCTAGTGCTTAGGGCAATTGAATTCAACTCATTTTAACATTTGGTTAAAAAGAAAAAAGGCCGGGCATGGTGGCTCACACCTGTAATCCCAGTACTTTGGAGGCTGAGGCAGGCAGATCACCTAGGCCAGGATTTCAAGACCAGCCTGGCCAACATGGTGAAACCCCATCCCTACTAAAAATACAAAAATTAGCTGGGCATGGGGGCAGGTGCGTATAATCCGAGCTACTTGGGAGGCTGAGGCAGGAGAATCACTTGAACCTGGGAGGCGGAGGCTGCAGTGAGCCAAGATCGCTCCATTGCACTCCAGCCTGGGCAACAGGAGCGAAACTCCATCTTAAAAAAAAAAAAGAAAAAAAGAGACATATTCTTATAAATAACAGTTTTACCCACCATTCCCTTATATAAAAATGTGGCCACTAGGCTACATTATATCAGCAATATATGATGTAGCATAATGCTGCATTACAGCATTATATAGCATGGTCTCCCAAATGCAACTGTACAGTTTCCTCACCCCTCACCCTTGTCTACTCCTTACAAAGTCCTTCTAGCCTTTCTAACCCTGATCCCTATAGCACTAGACAAGGTTTGCACTAATAAAATAGGTGTTTATAGTCCAAATTGGAGCTGCTTGCTCTGACATACAAGCAGATCATAAAAAACAACCCAAACACCCTTAATTCTGAGGCAAAAATTTAGATTACAAAGGTCTATGGTAATAACATTTTAATAGGTTTAAACCAAATAATTCTAATATCTCTAAAAATAATCAATTTGAAATGCTTAGGATATGGTTCTTTTTTTTATAATTAACTCATCTTTGAGCAAACATGTAATGTTGAGTTTAATATCAGTGTCAATTTCTTAAATATTAAGGTATATGTAGTCTTGTTTGGATCAGTGGGGGAAAAAAAGTGCATTTCCTAAAAGTAATTGTATTGTATATTTCAGGAGAGTAGGGGTGAGATTTACACAATGTCCTTTTGTTATTTTCTCTTCCAGTTATAAACAAACAAACACAACAACAGAAAGCTCTGTTCTTTACAGATATTAGTAAAAATATACATGCATATTAATAATTATGGCTCTAAGTGGACACTTACTGCTGCGTTTGCATCAATGGCATGTTTGTGCTATCATAGTTGTCTGTGTGTAAAGGAGGTATGATTTCCCCAGTCACAGGGTGGAACACAGGAAGCGTTGACAGGGGCCATGCTATCTCTCTATTCTTGGACATGTCTCGAAGCTCCTTGGTAGATTTCTGAATAGCACTGTGATGGACCAGTTGGATGCTAGGTCAAAAAGAAATAAAACAACATATATTTAAAATCATATATTAGCCTGATGGGTCATCAATTTGAAAAACTTATGAAGTATTTTTATCTTTTAAAATAATAAGACATTATGGCACTTTGGGCATTCAATAAACTATTTCAGAAAGGCATACATCTCACATACTTTTAATATAACAAAACTGAAAATTATAAACTGATTTTAAAATACATAGGTGTTTTATTAAACTAAGCTATGAAGCATTGTATTAATATTACTGTCCTAAGTAACCAACTAGTTTTCTATTTATTTTCTATGATTTAAGATAAAACTACCATAGCTTTTATATTTTTGCTTCTGGTGGGGCATTTATAAATACTCACAGAAGTTTCATTTTATGGTAGGTTATTACTGTAGATTCTGGAAAACTTGTATGAAAGGTCTTTTCATCTGTTCTCTGGTTTATAGAAATGCAGATTGGAAATCACATAATATAAATGGTAAGTTAATATTCTGAATCTGAAATATTTTAGGTTTAATTTTTATCTGTGTAATCTTAGTTTTCAAACCCTTTTTAGTTTTAGTTTCTACCCCTCCTAAATATCTCTATTTAGAAAGCAGCTTTCACATTTATGAAATAAACTATGAAAGATGACAAATGAAAAAAAGCTTGACACACATGTATGGAGCATGATGGGCAACTGAGAGGTGGGAAAAAATGATGAAGAAAATAACAGGAAAGAAGACACTTACTCTGGTGTTTGCATGTTTCTCTTTTCCCTAGAAACAAAACAAAATTTATGAATTAAATAATAGCATTGATATTTGGAACATTAAGACTATATGCTCATGGGATCTTGCATGATGTGGAAATGCTGACATTGTCACTATTAAATGCAACCAGGCAGCATTTGCCACCAGGTTTATGACATTGCTTGGATGAGTACACATACAGCGATGGAATACTGATGAGAAACACATAGAAAAATGAAAAAAATGGAGATTAAGAATCAAGGCCTTGATTGAAATAAATTCTATGACATAATGAAATCAAGCTACATGTAAAAATGAAAGAATTTGTTACTTGCTGCTTTATTAATTTTTTATCCTTTGCTTTGTTGCCCTGACTTCCAGATAATCTTGGGAGATTACCTTAATTGACATAGATGTCCTGAAGGTACTAACTATTCATGAAGTGAAGACTTGTTACTCAAATTATACCTTATTTTCATTAATTTACTCCTAAGTTGGGTTTTAAAAATATATTTTAAACATTAAATTGTGTTACCCTGTTTGACAGCAGAATGATTTCAAGAGTTTTGACCATCACTTCTGATCAAACTAACACAATTTTTTTAAGTGCAATTACCATGTCAGTAGATTCTGCAGTCTCTGCTCATGCAAGATGGCTTGTATAACCAAAATATCTAGCCTCAATTATTCTTGGGACTGTTTTGCCAGTGTGAATTTACATCTAGCCTTAATAATTTTTGAATAAAGTAATTATATCCCCTAATTTGATTTACTAGACTCAAAACTATTTTAATTCATTTTAAAGGAATAAAGTATTGCAGTTTGGACACAATTTCAATTCATTTACAAAGTGTTTTATGAACCAAATGAAACTTTGCTTTTAATGGAATCTTCTATGTTGTTATCTTAGCAGGATCTCTAATTATCTTATTAGTTTTAAAGTACTCACACGCCTTCCCGTCGGCAGCACATGATATAAGCAAGTATTAGAAAAAGGACCAGTGCCACTGCCGAGGGCACAGCCAGTGTAATTAGGAAATCCGTGTAATAGTCTCTGCTTTTCAAAGAATCAGAAGGGGGTTTGTATTCTCCACCATCAGGTAAAATCCCCTCTCCACGAATCACTTCCTGATAGGTGGACACTTGCTTTGTTTTATCAACCTGATATAAAAGAAGACAATTACACAACAAATTAATCGTTGCAAACATTATGAGATTTTAAGATCTGGATACACTAAAGCATTCTTTGACAAATTATCTAAAAAGCCATCTTTTCCAATTACTTTATCACCTCTTGAATTTGCAAGTATTTATTGGAGGTAGGGAATGTAACAAATGAAAGTAATAAAGGCTTTACTTTGGTCTACTTTCTATGTTCTTCCTAAAACATATATACATATACATTTACATGTGTACATATTTAACGTGTGTGCCTATACGTGTAGTTGTTCTTTTTCAGTTTCCTTCCTCTAAAGCAGTAGTCCTTTACACTACCATGTAAATGTCTTATTTCCTAGTGGCAAAGCTCAAGTGCAGATTTTACCAAACCTAAAACTGGCTGAAAACCAGGTATGCACGTATGGTTTCTAAGTTTAGCAAAAGAAAAAAGGAAAAAAAAAAGAGGGACAATTTCCAAACGTGTCGTCCTTGATCTTTCTGCCTTCCAGCTGACAGAAGTAACTTTTATGGAAGATAGTCTAGGGAATATGGAACCTATCCCAGTCTTACTTAATTCTATCCCAGTATCAAAAAAAAAAAAAAAAAAAAAAAAAAAAAAAAACTACAACAGTTGCACTATGTTAATTTACCTCCACATTAATTGAGCTGCTTTCACTGAGTTGCATTTAATTATGCTAAGGTTTTTATTGAAGGACACTAAAAATATAGCCATGTGAAATTTGCTACTACATTTGCTACTAAAATAAAATGCTGGGGAGAATTAGTTGCAGCATTATTCAGTATCTTCTCCCAAAAAACTCCACTTGAAAAATTTTGTTAATAATACAGTGTTAGTAAAAACTTTTGTTTTCTGCCAAGGAATTGATGTGCCTCCTTTTTAAAAATGAGAACTAAATATGAATTTCATTTATTTTTGTCCTGCACATTGGCGGCTTGTTGTCCAACACAGCCTTGTGCTTATTTTTGGGGGGTGAAATTTAGGTCCTGATTTTCCATTTCTTTTATATTTTATTTATTATGTTTACTGTATGAATCTTATTTAACCTTCTGAAATCTTTTGTGGCAAGATGTGGCATAAAAATAAATACATGTAAAATAAAAAATAAAAATTCCCAACCTTTCCACTTATAAAGCCTTAACAGATAAACAAAAATCTTCAAGGAGTATATCATTTTTTAACTTTTAGAGACTGGGTAATAGTCCTAAACATAAACTCATTTTCCAGAACAACCACAAGTAAAATGGCATTGTTAGGGTCTGTTGGCCACTGATGATGCTGGGAGAGGAACCTAAGTTATGGTTGCAGCTGCTCAGTCTCCTGCACCCTTGTATCGTTAGCACCATGATTGAACAAATTTTCCTATAATAATTGAGCAAATTTGCCTATAATAATAATTTTACTTGATTTAGGAAGGCAAAGAAGGCCATTTTTCTAAAGGCCATGAGACAAGAGGCATGAGAAGGAGAGTTCAAGGCAAAAGGCCACAAGGAGTGCTAAGTGTTGCAATGTGAGTAATATGTTCTCCAGGATGCAGCTGGCTCTCTAAGACATGAAGTGATAATTGTGTTTATGTGTCAATAACTTTGTTCAAATGTCAACTTTAAACTTAGATCTAATTCACTCACCACCAATCATAAAGAATTGACAGAAGTTATATCTAAAAGATCACTAAATAATTAAAACATCAGTTGGATACATTAATATGAAAAGAAAAAAAAAACAAAGAATTGAAACAACTCTCCTGCTTTTCAGATAACAGGATCAAAATATTATATACAGACATATAATATAAAATATGCAAACATATGTAAAATATTACACATATCTTACATATATTTGAAACCTTACATTTTCCTAAATCTGTTAACATGCAAATTAAAATGTGATTTGGAAAGAAATATTATGTTTATGAATTATGGGTAAGATTCTAACTTTCTTCACTTGGAATTGTCTCTTGTTTCTTGGACTTTCCCTATAATTTGAGTTGTCAGAACATTAAATCATAGCACAATACTGCTTTATTTTCAGATTTATTATTGTACTCCATCCTTTCCTTCCAAAGTGGGTTAGTGGCAGAATATTTAAGAAGAATCTTTCTGCACATATCATACTAACTCCACTATCTGTGCTCATTAGCAGCTATATGGATGCCCAAGGGGTTCATTTGGACCACCTGCCAAGCTAATCCAGCCCCAGCAATTAATCAAGGATAGAATAAGTACAAAAGTGGATATATTCTTTCCTAAACGGATGCACTGTCAACGAGCTTACCAGATCCTTAATCTCAAGGGAAGTCAACTGCAGTTAAAGTAAACCTAGGATTTATTCCTAAAAGCAGTTCAGGTTTTAGTCAAACGTTAACTCCAGCCACATTATTTTTAACTAAACTTGCAAAAACAAAATAAAAACTTACCAATGAAATTTTGCACCAGTCAATGTAAAATTGAGTACGAAATTTTTTATCACATGTTATTACAGGCTCCATTTCTTGACTACATCTCAATTGATTCTGTGGATTTTCAACTTCTCGTAAACAAGAAGAAAACGGGACATCTGCACCAACCATGACATAAACGCTGTAAAAATGTGAAACTCTCAGGTTATCCTTTAAGAAAATTGAAAACACTAAAAAACAATCCACCTTAAAAGCAGGATTTAGCCTTTTGAATTGAGAGATTAACTAGACTCATCCCTGAGGTAGGGGCCTCGGCTCTAAAAACAATGATTCATGTAGGGGCTTCCTTTCATTCATTCCTTTATTCAACCAATATTTACTGAGTGCTTTGGTATACCAGATACTCTCTCCATTCTATGTTAATTTCTAAAAACTTTATTTCATCCCATTTATTTTCATTCAATATAAACATGCATCATATTCTGATTACTATATTTAGTAATTACTATATTTAGTAGATATTTACATTAAAACATTATCCTTAAGGTAAATTAGGAAATAACCCCACTACTACAATAATAAATAACTAAGTAATACATTTCACTTAATTTTCTTGTAATAAAACTTTTAAATTACATCCCTGGAGGTATGGAGCTTTGGGTAGACATTACTATTTTACCTATCAGTTCTGTTAGTTTTTCTACTACACAAACCCCTATATGCTTGGTCTCTCATTAGAAGGCCTTGCAATCTTTTATCTAAGACATTAATATAAGGGTAAAACTATTGTTTGGTAAACACAAAGAGGCAAACAAAATATTTTGTTGGTTTGGGGGAATTATGGGGAAAGATCTCTACTTAACTGGCTAAAAAGATTTCACAACAGGAAATAGTGACAACAGTATTTAAATAATCTTGGAGCAGCTTGAGAAGATAGGAATCTCATTGGCCTTTCAAAAGAAAAGAGAAAACCAGGAAAATACTACAAGTAAATACTGTTCCTTTTCATAATGACAATGCTAGGAAAAAAATGACAATGTAAAATGAAGTAAAACCATCAAAATTCTAGCTGCCTTCTTTGCAGAAGTTGACTAACTGATCCTAAAATTCCTAAGGAAGTTCATAGCACCCAGAATAGCCATACACACACACACACACACACAAATTTGGATAAGGAAAAACAAATTTGGAAAACTCACAATTCCCAATTTGAAAACTTACTCAGAGCTACAGTAAGCAAGTCATCTGGTACGGGCATAGGAACAGACAGACAGATCAATGGAATAGAACTGAGAATCCAGAAATAAACTCTCACATTTAATAAACTGATTATCATCACAGGTACCAAGACAATTCAAAAAGGAAAGAATAGTTGTTATAACTAATGGTGCTGGAAAAACTGGATATCCACATATCCTGTCCTACCTAAGAAGGCAAATGAGAAGCATATGTGAAATTTATGGTCTTGAGGCATAGGCTCACTAAAAGATTGAAAACTAATCATAGAATTATTTTTTATAACTAATGGTGCTGGAATATATATATATATATATATATATATATATATATATATATATATATATATATAATAGTTGTTATAACTAATGGTGCTGGAAAAACTGGATATCCACATATCCCGTCCTACCTAAGAAGGCAAATGAGAAGCATATGTGAAATTCATGGTCCTGAGGCATAGGTTCACTAAAAGATTGAAAACTAATCATAGAATTACAGAATTCTTCCCCTCCCACAACACCTGACCACCATATTACTAAAGATCTACTTATATTCATTCTTTTTACTCCATACATTAGTCCAGCTAGCAAGAAAAAAATTATAAAACATACTATACAGCAAAAAGCACAGTTTGAAAAGACTGAACAAGCATCACACCGGAATCAGATATGGCAGAGATGTTGAAATTATCAGACCAGAAATTTAAAACAACTATGACTAATATGCAGAGGGCTCTAATGAATAAAGTGAAACTACTTTGCAAGAAATGTTAAAATAACTTCTTTTGAGAGATGGAAAATGATATAAGTCAGAAACTCAGATCTACATAAAGAAAAGTAGAGCATCAGAGAAGGAATAAGTGAAGATAAAACCTTTTATTTTTCTTAATTGATCTAACAGATAACTTGTTTAAAATAATAGCAACAATCTATTCACCATATATCCATAAATGTATATATCTACATATATGTTTATATACACTTATAGATAAGCAAAATAAATGACAGCAATGATACAAGAGAGATGAGGGAAAGACAGGGATTATTTTATCATAAGATACCTGCAATACCTAGGAAGTAGTGTAGTGTTATTTGAAAGTGAATTTGGATTGGTTATATATGTATATTACAAACTCTAAGACAATCAGTAAAAGACAGTTTAAAAAATACAACTGATGTGTTAAAAGAGGAGAGAAAACAATCATAAAAAATGCTCAATGAAAACTATAAAAAGTGGGAAAAGAGTGGAAGACAAAAATAGAAACAAAAAACAAAGGCAACAAACAGAAAACAGTAACAAATATAGTAGATTTATATTTTATTTTATTTTATTTTTATTTTATTTTTGAGACACAGTCTCGCCCTGTCACCCAGGCTGGAGTGCAGATCTCAGCTCACTGCAACCTCTGCCTCCTGGGTTCAAGCAATTCTCCTGCCTCAGCCTCCCAAGTAGCTGAGACTACAGGTGCCCGCCACCACACCCAGCTAATTTTTGTATTTTCGGTAGAGATGGGTTTTCACCATGTTGGCTAGGCTGGTCTCGAACTCCTGACCTCAGGTGATCTGCCTGCCTCTGCCTCCCAAAGTGCTGGGATTACAGGCGTGAGCTACCATGGCTGGCCTCAATAATCACTTTAAACATCAATGGTCTAAATACCCCATTGAAAAGACAGAGACTGTCAGAGTGGATTGAAAAACAAGATCCAACTATACTCTTTATAAAAAATATCTACTTTAAATAGGAAGACACATATACATTAAAAGTAAATGGGTGGAGAAAGATATACTATGCTAACAATAACTAAAAAGCAGGAGGAGCTATATTAATTTCAGACAGAGCCAACCTCACAGCAAGGAAACTTATCAGAGACAAAGAAAGGCATTACATAATGATAAAGAGGTCAATTCTTTAAGAACATAAATCACTCCTTAATGTGTATATGCCTCATAACAGTGCATCAAATTACATGAGGCAAGAGCTGATAGAAGTGCAAAGAGAAATAGATGAATCCACTATTATAGCTGGACATTTCAACATCTCTCTATCAGAAATGGACACAACCAGCAGGCAGAAAATTGGTAAAGACATAGTGAAACTCAGTATCATCATCAGTCGACAGGTTTTAATAGACACTTAGAGACTACTTCATCCAAAAATAGAATACACATTCTTCTTAAGTACACATGAAACATTTAGCAACATTCCAGACCATAAAAAATTAACAAATTTAAAGGAATGGAAATCATACACTGTCTGTTCTCAGACCCCGGTAGAATTAAACTGGAACTCAGTATCAAAAGATAACTGAAAAATCCCAAACTACTAGGAAACTAAGCAACAGACTTCAAAAATTGCACATGGATTAAAGGAGAAATCTTGGATGAAACTTGAAAATATTCTGAATTAAATAAAAATGAAACCATAACTTATCAAAATGTTTACAATTTGGCAAAAGCAATACTTAGAAGGAAATTCATAGCATTGAATGCATACATTAGAAAAGAAGAGAGATCTAAAATCAATAATTGAAACCTCCCCCTCAGGAAACTAGAAAAAGAAGAACAAATGAAATCCAAAGTAAGCAGAAGAAAAAAAAAATCAGATAATCTGCACAGGCCTATATGTAGTAAGGAAATTGAATCAATAATTAATAATCTTCTAAAGCAGAAAGCATCAGGTCCAGATGGGTTCACTGTTGAATTCTACTAGACATTTAAGGGAGAAATTATGCCAACTCTCTACAATATTTCTCAGAAGACAAAAGCCAAAAGAATACTTCCTATCTCATTCTATGAAACCCAAATTACCTTAATACCAAAACCAGAAAACAACATTACATGAAAAGAAACTACACACCACACCAGCATCTCTCATAAACACAGGTGCAAAAATCCTCAACAAAATATTAGCAAATCAGATTCAACAATGTATAAAAGGAATTATACACAATGATCAACTGGGACTTTCCCCAGTTATGCAAGGCTAGTTCAACATCCAAAAATCAGTTAATATCACATCAACAGGCTAAAGAAGAAAAATCACATGACAGCATCATCAGATGCAGGAAATGCATTTGACAAAATCCAATGGCAATTTGTGAAAAAAAAAATTCTTAGTAAACTAGGAATAGAGGGGAATTTCCTCAATTTGATACCTACAGCTAACATTACTCTAAATGAGAAACTTGAAGTTTTCCTACTAGTATCAGGAAAAAGTTAAGAATGTTGCCTCTCATCACTGTTTTTTAACATCATACTGGAAGTCCTAACTAATGTAATAAAAGACAAAAAGAAAATAAAAAGTATACAGATTTGAAAGGATTAAATACTGTCTTTCTTTGCAGATGATATGATTCAAAAGAATTGATTAAAAACTCCTAAAACTAGTGAGTGATTACAGCAACGTTGCAGGAATCAGTAATAACCTTCCAAAACAGAAAGCATCAAAATACATGAGGCAAGAGCTGATAGAGCTGATACTAAGATTAATATAATAAAGTCCATCACTTTCCTATATACCAGCATGAACAGGTAGAACTTGAAATTAAAAACAGAGGCCGGGTGTGATGGCTCACACCTGTAATCCCAGCAGTTTTGCAGGCCGAGGCAGGTGGGTCACCTGAGGTCAGAAGTTTGAGACCAGCCTGGCCAACATGACAAAACCATCTCTACTAAAAATACAAAAATTAGCTGGGCATGGTGGCACACGCCTGTAGTCCCAGCTTCTCAGGAGGCTGAGCCAGGGGTTGAACCCAGGAGGCAGAGGTTGCAGTGAGCCGAGATTGTGCCACTGCACTCCAGCCTGGGCGACAGAGTACCCTCCAAAATAAAATACTTAAATATAAATATAAGTCTAATAAAATAGGTACAAGATCTGTATGAGGAAGACTACAAAACTGATGAAAGAAATCAAAGAAGACCTAAATAAATGGAGAGATATTCCATGTTTAATGGATAGGAAGACTAAATATTGTCCATATGCCAGTTCTTCCCAAATTAATTATAGATTCAATGTAATCTCAATCATATTCTCAGCAAGTTAATTTGCAGATATTAACAAACTTATTCTAAAGTTTATATGGAGAAACAGAAGACCCAGAATAGCCAAAACAATATTGAAGGAGAAGAACAAATTTTGAGGACTGACACTACCCAACATCAAGATTTACTATAAAGCTACAGCAATCAAGACAGTGTAGTATTGGGAAATAATTGACAAAATAGATCAATGAAACAGAATACACATTTAGAAATAGACCCACATAAATCTATTCAACTAATCTGTGGCAAAGGAGCAAAGGCAATACAATGGAGGAAAGACAGTCTTTTGAACAAATGGTGTTGAAAAAACTAGACTTATACATGTAAAAAATGAATCTAGATACATATGCCCTTCACAAAAATTAACTCAAAATGCATCACAGGTCTACATGCAAAATGCAAAACTATGAAACTTCTAGAAGATAATAGAGGAGAAAATCGAGATGACCTTGGATTTGATGATGATTTTTTAGTTACAACACCAAAGGCACAATCCATGAAAGAAAGAATTGACAAGATGGACTTAATTAAAATTAAAAATTTCTCTTCTGCAAAAGACACTGCCAGTAGTACAAAAAGCCACAGACTACAAGGAAATATTTGCAAAATGCATATCTGATAAAGGACTGTTATCCAAAATATACAAAAAACACTTAAAACATAAAACAACAAACAATCCAATTAAAAATGGGCCAGAGGCCAGATGCAGTGGCTCAAGCCTGTAATCTCAGCACTTTTGGAGGCCAAGGTGGGCAGATCACTTGAGGCCAGGAGTTTGAGACCAGCCTCGCCAAAATGGCGAAACCCCATCTCTACTGAAAATACAAAAATTATCTGTGTAAGATGGCATGCTTCTATAGTCCCAGCTACTTGACTTGGGAGGCTGAGGCATGAGAATCACTTGAACCCAGGAGGCAGAGGCTGCAGTGAGCCAAGATTGCACCACTGCACTCCAGCCTGGGTGACACAGTAAGACTCTGTCTAAAAAACAACAACAACAAAAAGCCAGAGACCTTAACAGACACCTCACCATAGAAGTTATACTCGTGGTAAATATGCACATGAAAAGATGCTCCACTTTACATATCATCATGGAAAGACAAATGAAAACAGTGAGATACGCAACACACAGATTGGCCAAAATCCAGAACAGTGGCAATATCAAATGCTGGCAAGGATGTGAAGCAACAGCAACTTTTATTCATTGCTGGTGGGAATGCAAGATGGTGTAGCCAATTTGGAAGACAGCTTGGCAGTTTCTTACAAAATAACATACTTTTACCATATGATCCAGCTATCACTCTCCCTATATTTACCCAAAGGAGTTAAAACTTATTTCCACACAAAAGCCTGCACATGGATATCTATAGCAGCTTTGTTCATGACTGCCAAAATATGGGGGCAACCAAGATGTCCTCCAGTAGGTGAATGATAATTAAACCGTGGTACATCCAGAAAATGGAATATTATTCAGTGCTAAAATGGAATAAGCTATCGAGCCATGAAACGATATGGAAGAAACTTCAAAGCATATTACTAAGTGAAATAAGCAAATATGGAAAGGCTACAGACTACATGATTCCAATTATATGACATTCTGGAAGAAAAACCACTATGGAGACAGTAAAAACATCAATGATTGCCAGAAGTTGGGGGGAAGGAGGGATGAACAGGTGGGACATAGATGACTTTTAAAGCAGTGAAACTACTCTGTATGATACTATAATGATGGAAACATGTCATTATACATTTGTCCAAACCCACAGAATATAAACCGCCAAGAGTAACACCTAATGTAAGGTAGGGACTTTGGGTGATAGTGAGTTGTCAGTGTAGGTTCATCATTTGTAACAAATATACCACTCTGGTGGGGGATGTTGATAATGGGGGAGGCGATGCAAAAGCAATCTCTGCACCTTATGCTTAATTTTTCTATAAACCTAAAAATTCTCTTAAAAATAGTATACGCACAAAAAAATCAAAGACTTTAAGAGCTAAAACTATTAAACTCTGAGAAGAAAACAGGTGTAAATATG
Organism: Homo sapiens; assembly: GCF_000001405.40. Taxonomy (NCBI): domain Eukaryota; kingdom Metazoa; phylum Chordata; class Mammalia; order Primates; family Hominidae; genus Homo; species Homo sapiens. Next base: position 94,610,584 of record NC_000007.14, read on the forward strand.
ACCTTGGATTAGGCAATGATTCTTAAAATATGACACTAAAAGCTCCAGCAGTAACAGAAAAAAAATAAATTGAACTCTATCAAAATAAAAAAGTTCTGTGCTTCAAAGAACACCATTAAGAAAAGTGAAGACAATCCATGGAATAGGAGAAAATAACTGCAAATCATATATTTAATAAAGGACTTGTATATAGAACATATAAAAACTCTTACAACTTAATCAAAAAATGAATAATTCAATTAAAAATGGCAAAGGATATGAATAGACCTATTTCCAAATATGATATACAGATATCTAATATGCATATGAAGAGATGCTCAACATCACCGGCCATCAGCAAAATAGAAATCAAAACCACAATGAGATACCACTTCACTTTCACTAGGATGGCTATAATCAAAAAGGCAGATAATAGCTAGTGCTGGTGAAGATATGGAAAAGTTGGAACTCTCCTATTTTGCTGGTGGAAATGTAAAATGCATCTGCTTTGGAAAACAGTCTGGCAATTCCTCAAAATGTTAAATACAGAGTTACCATATGACCCAGCAACTCGATTCCTAGGGATATACTTCAGAAAAATGAAAATATATGTCTACACAAAGACTTGTACATGAATGTTCACAATGACATCATTCATGGTCAACAAGTGAAAACAACCCAAATGCTCATCAACTTATAAATGGATAAACAAAAGATGGCATATCCATAAAATAGAATATTATTCCATGATTAAAAATGAAATACTGATTTATTCTACAACATAGATGAAACTTGAAAATGTTATACAAAGTGAAAGAAGCCAGTCACAGAAGACCACATATTATATAATTCCATTTATACAAAATGTCCAGAATAGGCACATTTATAGAGACAGCAAGTTCCTTAGTGGCTGCCTAGGGGTAGGGGTGGGGGTGGGGGTGACTTCTAATGGGTACAAGGGTGGGTGTGTGGTGTTGGGATAATAACAACTTTCTAAAATTGGTTATAATAATGATTGCATGACTGTGAATTTACTAAAAGTCACGATTTAAAATTGTACATTTTAGATAGGTGCATTGTATGATATGTGAATTATATCTCAATAAAGCTGTTATTTTTTTAAAATGAAATGAAATAAAAGTACAGCACAAAAGTTCAAAGCTATGTAAATGTAAATATGAAGTCATGACCAAGCCAGAGATGACAACTGTGTTCGAGAATATGTTCACACAAATTCATTTGCTCTACACATCAAATTTATATTAGGATTTAAGACTCATTTGAAAGATTATCTTTTAAAAAACCTATTGTACCTTTGGGAAACAAATAGTAAATAATGGGCAAAATTAAAGATCAAATTAAAAATTCAGAACAAAAGTAGAGATGAGAAACCATTGGTATTTAGATGATCAGAGGATATAAACATATTCGATTTAAAACAAGTTATTACTTTTAAGCCTTGCATACATTCAGTTTCTATCCTTTTAGTAACTACCAAGGCAACACCATATTTTTCCTTGGTAATTGTGAAATATATTTGTAAGGACCGAGATTAAATGAATGTTTCTTACAACTGTTAATGGCCCTCTTGCTTAGACAAGACATTGATTTGTATTTGCAATTAGTAAGATTTTTAATTAATTCCTCTCAAGGTAACATAAATGGGCATAAGAGATTTTCATGCTTTGAAATGTTTTTTTTCTTAAATTATAAAACCAGTATAAAAACATTACAGAAAACCTGAGGTATAAAAACAAAACTCATTTATATTGCCAAAAGAACTATTTTCATTTTCCAATGTACCTTGCAGAATATTTTTCAAATGCATATATTTTAATCTAATTGCAATAATCTCTAAAATATAATTTTGTATCCTGCTTTTTCACTTATTGCATCATAAGCATATTCCACATTGTAATCTTTGTAATTATAGTTTTATGGCAGTATAATTTCTTTTTAAGTACACATGATTTATTCCGCAATTATTTCAGAGTTGGACAACTAAGTTGCTTCCAATTTTTTGAAGTTATAAATAATATTACAAAGACTATCTCTGCATATTCTTTAATGTGACTATCCTAAAAGAGAGGTCTAGAAGTGGAAACATTTTTATGACAGTTGACACATACTGCCAAACTACTTTCATCTCTACTTGGATGATCCATAAGCTTTTCAACTTAATATGTTCCAAACTGAGCTCATCATTACCCCACCCCACCTCCACCTGTTCCTCCTTCTATCTTCTTCTCTCTTGGTGATTGACATCCCCAAATGCTCAAGTCATGAACTCAAGCACCATCTCTTTGACTCCTCTCCTTCTCTCCACATATTCAATCCATCATCAGTCTCTGACATTTACCCTGAAATAACTCTCATACACACCTGTCCACTTTGTTTTGTCCCACTGCTACAACTGTAGTTCTAGTCACCATCACCTTCCACAGGGAGTGAAGGAACAGCCCCTTAATGGTGCTCCTTGAACCCAGTCTTTGCCACTGTCCTCAGGTAGCCTACTGGCTAAATGAATGCATGAATGAAAAGCATTATACCAGTTTAAAAACAAACGGAACACAGATGTCATGCTCAGAAGCAGGAGATATTGGATTTGTCTCATTAAGTTTTTTTAAAAAGTATATTTATGGCTTCTTTTGTAGAATCACTAAGTTTGAACACACTGGCTTTTAAAAATATGTAATTTTGTCTGAGTCCATGTGTAATAATAATAACTATGCTACACATGCTAAAATTATGTTTTTCATAATGTTGTTTTCCTTTCAGCTAGTTGTTGTCAAAATTTAAAATTTGTATGAAGTGAAAATGAGAATGATCTTTACCTTTATGACCCTAGCACATGTTTTCAAATTTCAAATGTGTATAAACAGATGAGACAGGAGGCTATTATCAAGTATAAGGCTCTCAATGAATGCTAACAAAACCTGGTACTTCAAAAGACTAGAGACTGGAGTGCACTAGATAGAGTTGTTTCTTGTGAAGAATTTTTTTTATCCCAACAATTCAATTTCTCTTCTTTGAGGTAAAATGCATTTATTGAGGCCTTTACATTTATAATGTGAAGAAACAAGTAATGGTAAACAATTTAAGTAGAAACTCCACTGTTTCCAGCAATAGCCAAATATATGGATCCAATGATTGTATTTTTTCCTAATTGCCCAATTAATGAATATACTTTGTTATTTTATGTATATAGAAGATAAAAGACAGTTTAGAGAAGAATATGTCCATATATGTTACATGTTGCCTGGGAAATGTTGAGCACTCAAAAGCAGCAGCACAAAACTTCCTGCCTTTTCCTCCACCCAACTTCTTTCTAATGTACATACCTGCAATTAATCAATCAAAAAGTAAGATACAAAATAAAGAATGAAAGATGTATGGGATTATAGCAAAACACATATAATAAAATAAACAAGTGAAAAAGTCACCAGAAATTAGGAAAACATTGAAAACTTGACAGGACTAATAATTCTCTTGCAAGCCAGAGCACTGCATTTGGCACTTAATTTTCTTGTACCCAAATTGAAATCAAAAAAAAAAAAAAAAAAAAAAACACAGTAAATGTCATAGTTCTCATCATTAGAGAGGGGAAAGCATGACTATTCCTTAGAGACCTAAATGTTTTATTGGCACTAAATTCTAAAAGAATTTTTTCATGTGTTCATGTTCCTCTTGTTCATGTATCCTCTGGCAGGGGAAAATGGATGCTATTGGGTCCCCTAAAATCCCAGCACCTATATCCACACAGCATTTCCTCCATTCAGTCTTCCCTATTCTACAAGTGTGATCTCTCTAAAACAAAAATTTTAGTATCAACCATTTCCTGCACAGGTCCCTAATGCTTCAGGATGAAATCCAAATAACTTTTCCCAGAAGACAACGTCTTACATGGTCTGGTCTTTGCCCCTTCTGGATCTCTTTCTCCATTTCCACACTAAGTAGAGTTCTGAATCCACTATGCTCTCTCCTACCTTCGGTACTCGCCCAAGCCCTTTCCCCTGCATAGCGTTCCCATTTCTCATTTTCTCAGCAGGCTAATTTGTACTTATATTTTCAACTCAGTCAGCCTTCAGCTCCTCTATAAACCTTTTTCAGGTGTAGAAATGTAGTGAGAGAGGAGCCCTCTCTGTGATGCCTCAATTGTGGTACTTAAAACACTGATTTTAATTATCTGATTATTTGCCTGCTCCCTAGTAGACTGCAAGCCTAGATTGTGTTTTTAAAATCACTGTACTCCAAAGACTAATAAAATATTCTCCCATTAAAAAAATACTGAATAAACATTAAACTATGAAAGAAAAAATGATAGAACTCAGAAGAGTAGATATTAAACATATAGTTGCATTGACTTCATTTGTTTTTTTGTTATAAAAATTGATACAGGTTTCCAATTTTATTAAAGGCATTTGCAAATATTTCTATATCACCACTATTCCATAAAATAAAGGATATTTGTACCAAAATTATAGGAGGGACATCATTTAAGAATAAAGGGCAATTCAGCCAGGCACAGTAGCTCACGCCTGTAAGCCCAGCACTCTGGGAGGCCAAGGCGGGTGGATCATGTGGTCAGGAGTTCCAGACCAGCCTGGCCAACATGGTGAAACCCCATCTCTACTGAAAATACAAAAATTAGCCAGGCACAGTGGCAGGTGCCTGTAATCTCAGCTAATCAGGAGGTTGAGGCAGGAGAATCGCTTGAACCCAGGAGGCAGAGGTTGCTGTGAGTCGAGATCCCACCACTGCACTCTAGCCTGGGTGACAGAGCAAGACTCTGTCTCAAAATAAATAGATAGATAGATAGATAGATAGATAGATAGATAGATAGATAGATAGATAGATAGATAAAGGGCAATTCTGTAAGTTACCATAGATAGAGACAATTTCAGAACTCTACTGAAATTGGCCCAGGATCATGACTTTCCATCAGACCAATATTGGGCAGCCATTGACTTCCATTCTTTTCCTCAAGTATAACTTCTCACTGAGGCCTTTGACATACAGCAAAAAGCAGACAATCAGTGGGAGTACTTTGTGAGATGGTCTAGAGAATAAAATAGGATTCTCTGTTGTTGATTGAAACTGGATCCACATGCTTTGGTAACCAGAGGAAATAGTGGTAAGTTTGACAATCTCTTAGGAAAAGTGAGTATATTCTTTAATCCTCACACCCCATCATTCCCTTCATAGCCACCATTTACACTACATCACTCGCCTGTGGTTGGCAGCCATGACATGCCTGGAATGAAATATGAACCTGCTCTTCTTCCCACCAGCTTTATCCCAGGCTAAATACATCCACAAGGCCTTAGCCTCTGGCTCAGCATCAGGAGGAAAAGTAGCACCAAGACCATGCCCAGAAACAGCACAGTTGCCTTGGGGTTATCAGTCTGGCAAGTGAAAATGAATCTTTTCAGAGGGCTCAGCCTTCCTTTGCAGGAGCTTATTCACTTTGAAGTAAATCTTCATAATCACTTTCTGTTTGATTTAGGAGAAGTTTGAAAGCTGTCAGTGAGTTCTGCAGAGATTAAAAAAAATGCTCATCAAGAAGGATGAGGAGCTCAGATGCTGCAGGTTGGGCTCATGGGGACTGACACTTAATGACACTTCAGGCAGTAGAACGGTAGTAGATTTACTCTGAGGTTCTACTACTGAGGGCTACTCTTGGTCATCTGCTGTTTAACTGACTATACATATGAAATATGAAAAATTTTGCACTTATTACTTGTGGCTGACATGTGTAATAAATAGGAAATAATTTCATGGAGATCTTTTTCTTAAATCTGGGACTAAGACTTATGCTAAGTATTACACAAAGCACATTTATTAGGTGCCTAGTTAATACTTCTGAAGTGTATGAATATATTTTTAAACAAAAATTTTTACAAGGGATATAATTCCTTTGCTAGCTCTGAACCTATTTCTTGATCTTTTTAATATTTCATTTTTAAAGGATTTATAGCCCCTGATATTTTCAAAAGAATATACAAAGGCAGAAAGCATATTAAGTGAATTAAAAATCATAATATACACAGGTAAAAAGGAAATAAAGTATTAGTTAAGCATTGGATTTTTTTTCTAAATTTAAGGCAACAGGGCTAAAAAATTGTTTCTATTACCATGATTTTATATAACAACTAAAGAAAACATGCAAAATCATTTGCAGCGACAAACTTTTTTTTCGAATTATAACTCAAGTAAGATTTTATTTTATGAGTGTTTGTATACAGACACACTGGAGTAATAGAGCTGGCATTGCGTACAATTTATAGAAATGCTATTTTAAAAGACTCCATATGAATATTTTGTAAAGGTTAAGGCTTAACATTAAATTAAAACTCATGGAAAGCGTTTCAAGTTGGGAAGGGATCTGAGACAAGAGTCCAAATAAATGCCACGGGACTGATTCTCTCAAATATCTGACGGCATGTGCCACCCTCTAGCAGGTGTTGGGTGTTGGGGGTCAGTCAGTTAGTGATTGAATTCTCAAACAAGTACTTGTAGGACAAAAATTCTGTTCTTAATATAGAGTCACATGCTCAGGCCCAGCCCTAGGCTCAAAGAATCAGTCTCTAGGGGGAACAAAGGCCAGGAACCTATCTATATTTTTAGTAATGTTCTATTGGCAATTTTCAGGCTAGACATAGTTGGAAAGCAGTGCTTTAGGTCACAGTTTGGTTTATGGAGTTGCTTGGTTCAATTTAGTTTAGTTCAGGTTCTAAAAGTACCTCGACGGGTGGGACCTGCACTACTAACGAGAAAAAGTGAGACCAGAATAAAGCACAACAATGAAAAACTCTACCAATGCCTTGTTTTTGTGCTGTTTCCTCCAACATTATTTGGTCATTGTTTTAACAATTGTGGAACACATTACCTTAAGAAAACTGTTTTAAAAACCCCATATTTGGAGAATGCCTTCAGGGAAGATACCCCCATTCATCTCATTCCACGGTTCTGCTTTAATTACTTTATAGGAAAGAGAACCATGTTGTAACTGTAACTATGAAGTAAAAATTTAAGCTCTAGAATTATGTTTTCATATAGAAAGCCAACTAGGTACATAGACAAGAGATAAAGCAACCATTTTCCTCAAAGGACTTCTATGTATGCTTGACTGATTTCAAAATCCATTGCTATAAAACAGAAGATAAAATTTAATTCTGAAATTTTTAAGTTGGACTTTACAGCTCACTGTTTTTCCCCATCTGCCTTTTACCTACCCACAGACTGCATCCATGTGTACATAGTTCTCCTTTAAAGCTATCCTTAAATTTAATTCTTACTAATCCAGGTATTCTAGCTAATTCTAGATATCACCTGTATAAAAGTGTTTCCAGGATTATGGGCGAAGAAGTTGAAAGGGGAATATGCTATGCAAAATGTGATTTATTCCACAGACTATACTTTTATAGGATTGAGGTAGGAAAAGCAAATCTGCCTCAACCTACAGATTAAAAATTAAAGATCAAAGTTTGTCTTGATAATAACTTTACCCAGGCAGGATTCTTTCTTGACCTCCACAAGGTCAGAAGTCATGCTTTCTATCTGCACAGCTTCAGAACTGACAAATACCTTTCAAATGCATTATCTCACTTAATCATTATAACAACTCTGAGGGAGAACATATCCCCACAGGAACAGATGAGGAAGTTGAGGCACTGAGGAGTTCAGGGTTTGCCCAGTGTCACCCAGCTTGTGAGTGACAAGGTCAGGCTTTAGGCCTTTGTGTCACAGGAATGGGTTTCAAATCCACCCCAGCCATCAGTCACTGACACATGGTGGAAAGAATGTTAAAGATGAAGAAATAGTTTCCTAGAATAAAGTTACAGCAGTCTGTGCATCCTTCTGCAGCTAATAACTGGGGCGTCAATTTCCTTTGAAATTCATGGCCCTAAATAATCAGCTTCTTAATGGAAGGTACAAAAGACTTAGTGCTATAATTTATGATGCTGATCCTCATCTACAATTAGATTTCACAGACCAGGAACTTGAGATATAAAAAACCACTAACACAACATCTTTGCCAATATAGAAAATTACTAGTATGTTCATATCTTTACAATATCTATTTCTTATTAAAACGAAAAATGCAATAGGCCATCTTCCATCTATAATAAGTTTGATAAGATCACCGTATTTAAAAATCTATATTTAAGGCAATGAGATAAAGATCTGCTTACCCCTCCTTCAGGTCATTAATGGGAAGTGGCACCCTGCCACCCCTGTCTAGGGCCGATGTGATGTTTATGGCGTTCAGGCGCTCTGGCTGCCACACATTTTTCACTGCGCCAAGAAAGTCTCCAAGAACCTCACTGGCCAACATTTCTTCTACATTCATATTCTTAATGAAGAATTCTGCTTGATATGGCAACGGGAAGTCTAATTTTGGTGAAAAAGGGCATGCATATCTTTAATGAAGTAGTCTTTTAAAAAGGAAACAAAAGAACAATTTGCGATTTGTTGAGTTCTGTCATAATCCTGGCAGCAGGAAGCAATATTAATACTGACTTTAAAGGCTTTCTGTTTAACAGAGGATGTATCTAAAAACATAACTGACATTAGAAACAGAACTTTATCTACAATATAATAAAATCCAAGGCTCATCAGAGGCTCATCAGGGCAATTTATAGTTATAGAATTTGGCAAAACAACTAAGAAAAGCTAAATCTACATTTTAAATTTATAATATTACTGATCTTTTGGGGAGCATGCTAAAATATTACTTTTTCTGAAATAAAAATCAATTATATGTCCAAAAGGAATTCTAAAAACCAGAACAATTCCACAGTTTTTAATCACACTATAATTAAATATTCTAGAAAAATTATAAAGTTCTCATGGAATTCCACTTCACATTGTTGGAGATTTAGTGTTTTTTCCTCCTCAATGTGTCATCAAAATTTCCCTCTAAATATTTCATGATTAACATCTTAAAACAACCCCATGTCAAATTCAGCCTTTCAATATGAGAAACTGTAAGTAAATATAATTTGTTACTCAAATGCTACTCTTCAATTACAAATCATCACTCTCTATATTCTAATTGTTCTCTTACGATAAATAATAGCTTTCTGTTTATTTAATAATATTTCTGTAAGAATAAAGGTTAATTTTTTAAATGTATGTACTGTGAGGCAGGCCAAGCTAGGGGACTTAGGTGAATTAGAACATTTAATTCTCACAACAAGAGGGTGTGTAGCTGCTTGTGTTTTTCATTGTACTTTCATACGTGAAAGCTTATCTTTAGAGAGGTCCAGAAGCTTATCTCATAATGTGAACTTACCTTGTACGACTTTTATCTATGCTAAAAGAGACTGCATATATAAGGTGCTCAGCAGAGCTCCCAAAACATAGTAGGAGCCTATAAAATATTAAATGTTAGCTCTAATTATAATAATATGAAAAGGTTGATTATCTGAATTTTTACTTTAAAAAGACAAGAAAATGTTTCTAGGTGCTACACAGATTTAAAGTCCCCAGTAGTAATTACACTATGTATATCCTCTCATTTATTTCAATAAAATTCATGTATCTGTAAGATATTCCACTTTTATTTAATGAACAAAAAATAAAAATTACATTAAGTACCTAAAATCTTGGTTAACTTATTTCTTATGAAGCATCCTATTAAAGGACATTTGATGCCTGAGATGAAGTCAAAGAAGAAACTAACGCTTCAGAATTTTCAACAGAGTTTTCTAGAGTGTGGTCATCACTTTTTAAAGATTTAGTTTTTCAAAGCCCTAATCATAGAAAGTTCTTTGCTTATCTCCTATATTGTCACTTGTTCTGCTTACAATTTTGTTAGATTTCCTTAATGTATAGCCCATCTGCAATTTAAAATATATTTATTCTCATATATGCAAATAAATTTCGTTTTATAGACATATTTCCTGTTTTATACAGATAAATAGCTTAATCATGCTACATTTATCTGCATACCTAGAAATAGTCATGCAGAAATGTGTTATGAGAAAGTTTCTTGGCAATAAATAATAAAATATTTATAAATAATACAAATACAGCTTTTGAATATGCCAGAAGTCTAAAATCTATTCATTTCATTCAATGTTTTTACATCCAGTTTTCTTAAAAAGTATCTAAAACTTTTTTCTTATGATCAGTGCTACTTTTTGGAGAATTATTATCTGGCTTTTCCTGTTCCACGTGACCCAGCTTCATGGCTCCTTTTCTGAGACCTGCTGCAAAGCCTGTGGTTGCCACCACACCCCTCAGAGGCTTTGAGCTGGGCAGCTGCCTGCTATCTACCCATCCAAGAGCTGCTGCCAGGCCTCCCAGAGATGAGTCACAGCAGCTTTCTAACTCTGGGGAAATCCCATGCCTGCTATATTTGGAAATCACAGAGGCCAAGAGAACAGTAGGCCAACAGATTGGTGGCAGGCCTCTGAGGCACTAAACCCAATTTAGAGAATCACTTTATGTACTCTCCTTGAGCTTCATGCGGTGTGAGTCTACATGACTAATTTCCCATTAGATCTCTCAGAACAGGAGACAGCTGGGCAGGGAGTTGGACAGAGCATGATTACCCTGATATATAACTTTTGTTATTTCTTTTCCTAAATCTAATCTGGGATAAATAACATGAGTGTAGGCCATGCTCAAACATGTACATCCTACTGCACATATACATTTCTGTCTAGACCAGCAAGGACAAATGCATGGACTTTAGTGCAGTGGTTCAAATAGGTTTGGGCCACTAACCCTACACAAAAAGCAGAGGAACAAGCACTGCCTGGAGTAAAGGTGGAGGCTTCTAAAACCTGTCTACTACTCCTTCTCACTAGCACACCTTCCAAACCCGTTATTTAGACAAAGAGCCCTGCTGCCAATTTTCAATCCTACAGTTGTCTAGCAGTCTTCCATTAGTATCTACTTGACCACAGGTCCTCATACGTCAACAACAACATCTATTGAGATGCCTTGAGTAATCTGTATCTACAGCACTGAGACTAGATTTGAGAAGGAAGAAGTTCAAACTATAGAACAAGCTTTCAATTTGTAGGGACTCTCACACCTGACAGAGTTTCGAGTCCCTTTGAGAGCATAATGGTGAGGTGAGATGGTCCAAGGCCACTGTAGTATAACTTTATAACTGTAATGATGAATTCCTAAGGAGGAAGGAAACTTTTCAATTATTCTGCTCATTAAGTGTATTCCAATTCTACAGGGCCAGCTTAGACAGCATGTAAGCATCCAATCACCACTGTAGTCAAGAACAAAAATCTCCCTGATCCAAACATAAATACCTACCAAAAGCCTTTGGGGAGTGGCAGAGTGGACAGGGAGTCTTCAGTCCAGGCCCACAGAACTGGCACTTGGACTTGCTTTTCATATATGAAGGTCATTTTAAATTTTAAACTTGCACATTTGTTGTCTACAATTGATACCGGTAAACACCTGGGGGAAAACATTCACTTAAGGGGGTTTAAGTGTTCAAGCAATCTCTCCATACACGTTTAATTTTACAGAAATTCCTTCTTTCATATCGTGTAAAAGTAATTTTTAACCCAGCCTTGACTGCATTATCATTAATGCTAAATTAGTAGGTTCTGATAAAATGTTTGGTGTTTGCTCATTTGTTTTTAGTTGCACTAGTAAATAGAAGCAAAAATTCCCCTATCAAGAATGCACAATTGTTTTCTTGTTTTTAGAGGGAAAAAATTCTGGATCAGTTTCCCTCCTGTCATTCTCATAAATGATATCTAACATAGGGAGGATCATTCCATGATTTATACAATTCAACTACAGGCCAGGTGTGGTGGTTCGTGCCTGTAATCCCAGCACTTTGGAAGGCCAAGGCAGGTGGATCACATGAAGTCCGGAGTTTGAGACCAGCCTGGCCAACATGGTGAAACCCCATCTCTACTAAAAATACAAAAAATTAGCCGGGTGTGGTGGCAGGTGCCTATAATCCCACCTACTCGGGAGGCTGAGGCAGGAGAATCACCTGAACCCAGGAGGCGGAGGTTGCAGTTAGCCGAGATGGTGCCATTGCACTCCAGCCTGGGTGACGAGAGCAAGACTCCATCTCAAAAAAAAAAAAAAAGAAAATTAACTACAAAGTATTTGGTGATATTTTCCCAATTGATTAAAATATTTGAGAGTGTAATTCTGAGAATACTTCCTTATCCCTAACCTTCAAAATTCTTAGGAAATCACTTACAATTTGAGCATATGAAACTTTAAATTGCTGAAAGACTCTACAAATTACTAATACACTATAAACTATTTAGGAAGGAAATTGTACCCTAAGTTATGGTTTATTTGTTTTCCAGAAACCCTATATTATCACATATACTTAGACTATTACCTACAGTAAATTTTTAAATAAAATAATAAAACTAGTTAGTAATTATTTTTTTTGAGACAGGCTCTCACCCTATCAGCTAGGCTGGAGTGCAGTGCTCCAGCCTTAACTTGTGAATCCTTACCCCACACTTATAAGAGAAATGCTACTGTTAGTCCCATTTTAAGGTAATGAAAAAGGCTTAGAGAAATAAGAGGACTATCTGTTTGGCTTCCTATCTGAGTTTTCACCATCATAACACACCATAATATTTCATAATAAATTACATATTGCTTAGTTTTCTTTTCTATATCTTATTATTTCATCAGTTATATTAGGTATGTGGCATTTTAAAATTCTTGACTATATTTTATGTAGTTATAAAACATAATGAAATACTTCTTATAAATAAGAAATGATCAACATATTTTCATACCTACCTTCTGCAGACATTATATTAATTATCAAATTATGCCTTGCAGTCTCAAAGGTGCGCCTGTTGTAGGCAGTTATCTATTATAAAAGGAAAACCATATTAAAGAAGTGAAATGTTCTTTGTAAAATGAAATTCATTAAGGATTAAAATGAAAACAAATTGTCATTCTTTCCATTTTCATTATTTGTTGATATACTTACAAAATATTCCTTCTCTGGGCAATGAGAACTCAGAGCTTTTAGCAATATTATGGGAAAATAAATAATTAGTCAGGTCTATTTAATATACTGAAACAAAAAGTTAAAATCAGAAAGACTCTTTCATAGAAGGCCATTAAGCACTGGTAGCAATGCAGATGCATCATTAGTAAATGGATTAACCATTATGAATTACTTACCAGTGATGTTCTAAGATTTCAAAAAAAAAACAATAATTTTTGTACTTTTAAATGGAGTTTAAGAATTATAATGAAAAGTACACTTTAAAACAAGCATATCTTTGTGTTTTTTTGCATTTAGTACTAAACTGCACCCCAATCAGTCAAAAAATGTCATAAATAACCCTTTGGAAATCATATCTCACTTACGATGGGAGTAAAGTAGTAAGGATCATAGTCCATGAAGCTTATGGAACATGCTCAAAAACACAAATCAATCCCTTCATACGGGCAAATATTAGTAAACATTTGCAGAGCCAATAGACTTACATCAAAGTCAATTCAGAAACAGCCAGTGCAAACAACACACAAAGCAAAGGCCAACAACAGGATATGGCTTCAAAACTTAAGGCCTATTTAACTTTATAACAGATATTAAATCATTCGGACACATCTGCAGTACCTCAAAAAAAAAAAAAAAAACAAATGATTGTGTCAAAATCTTAGAATCCCAGCACTAACCTTCTGGCAATGATTGCAGCTGGAGGTGACACTGAGACAAAAGAGTAGGATAAAACTGACTTCAACTAAAAATAAATATCTTGTGCATTTTAAAACAAATATCAAAGATTTTTATACATTACATGTGTCAAAAAATAAGTTGCAGTCATTGAAAATACTGAGTTAGAACAGTAAGAATTTTGAAATAAATAATTTTAAACTTTTAACAATGTTTAAAAGGTATATATTTTGAAAGGCATATTACTCCATAAAGTTAAAAGAACCTCTCTCTCCAGGATTTGCCAAATTTCCATCATATTTAATTATTTCCTTGCTGTTATCTGTTGGGACACATGATCAATTAATTTCACACCGGACATTAAAATTAAGACTAGCCATTAAACAAACTAGGAACTTTTGCTCAAATGAAACATACAAAAAATGCAAAATAGATTTTGTTTGAGAAACTTAATCATTTGAAAAGTTTACCCTGCAAAAAATTTAATCACATTTTCAATAAAAAGTATGATCCTCTACTATTTGTTACAATATCATGAAGCTTCAGCTTAGAAAAAAAATAGATTTTTTCAAATTAATAGCAATATTTTTATGGGTAGCCTTCCCTTAATCATCACAAATTTCATTATTATAAGTTTCATAAATTCCAATAAATGTCTTTATTTTTAAATAATGCAGACTATTGAAGGGAGTGAAGAATATTTCATATCAGGAGGAAGAATTTTATTACCTGATTTTATAGTTGATGCTTAATTTTAACAGCTATAACAGAATGTAGTCCTTCTATCACTTCCAATGAGACATTTAACTGCTGTAATATCCTCAGATTTTACTTATTATGATGATGTGAAGACCGTCAAAGCAGAAGAAAATGTGAGTGTCTACGTGTGCATACTTTATTTTTGATTCCCCAATTTCTAAAACAGAGCTGATCTATTTTAGATACTTAAAATCTAAATATTTCAGATAAAAATCTACTGAATGAATTAGTAGACTTATATGATTAAATATTATATATTTAAGATACAAAAATTCTTGACTAAATAGAATATTTTAAAATACTATACCTGTTACTATAAATGAATGTGAAAATGAGCTATTTACAGATAAGTCACTATATTATATGAAAGATATGGTAAACTTTCTTTTTTTTATCTTTTTACTATATTTTTATACATATTCATAACACAGTATGTTAGTCATAAAGTATATAATGAATGCACTCACAATGAACTCTTATGAAACCATCCCAGTACATGTGTTTCTCTCCTAGCCTAAGCCCTTACCTCTCCCCAACCAGAAGTAGTCATTCTGGATTTGGTGTTTAACGATCCATTCATTTAAAATACAGTTTTATTATAATTGCATGAATGCTTAAAGCATATGGTTTAGTTTGCCTGTTTTTGAGCTCTACCAAAATGGCAAACTATTACAGGTGGTCTTCTAGTACTTTTTTTTAATTGAACATTGTGTTTAAAACACTTATCCATATTGCTGGGCAAGCTTAAGTTCACTATTGCTCTGAACATTCACTGTGTGAATACACCAAGATTAATATATTCTCTTGCTGATAGACTTTTGGGTCTCTATTGTTTTGTGGCTTTCCAGTGTTGTGCTATACAAATGTTGCTTGATGAGCATGATTGTACCTGCCTCCAGGAGGGCATTTGCAAGTACTTCTTTGGGGCATATTGCTAGAAGTAGGACTGCCAGATAATAAGGTACAGGGATACTCAACTGTATGAGATATTCAGTACTGCTTTCCAAAGTAGTGATGCCAACTCCCACATCCACCTGCAATGCATTTTACTGATGGCAAAATTTTCATTGTGATCTCCATCTGAATATTCCTCATTACCCATAAGAGCAAGCTACTTAAGTTTATTGGCGTTTGTGTCTCCTCTTTAGTGAAATATCTGTTTCTTATTAAATTGCAGGATTTCGTTTTTATTTTAGATACTCTTAGTCAGCTATATGTGTTGAAAATATCTTCTCCCAGTTTGTGGGTTGTCTTTTTAAATCATGCTCTGGTTTAATGGTTGATAAACAGACATTCACAAATTTCATATAGTGAAATTGATAAATTTTTTCTCTTAAAAATATTTAGGTCTTACTTAACAAATCCTTCCCTATCCATAGGTCAAAGAGATTTTTCTACATTTTAATATAATTGTTTAAAAATTTGCATTTTACATGTAATCCCTAATCTACCTAGACTTGAGACCTGGCATATATTCTGTTAGATTTATTCCTAGTACCTCAACATTTTTGTTGCTATTAACAATGGTATTTTTAAAAACGTGTATTTTCTCAATACATGCTATTCATGTGTAGAAATATAACAGTAATTTATAATGATCTCACAGTTCACTGCTAGCCTTTCTTAAGATTCTTAATAGTCTACAGACCATTTATATCATTGATGGTTTCCATTTCTTCTTTTTAAATCCTTAGGGATTTAATTTCTTTTTCTTTCTTTACTGTACTGGCTGGGACCTCCAATACATTCTGTAATAGATTTATCAGACAGAGTCATTCTTGTTTTGTTCCTGAATTTAAATGAAATTTCTCTAACATTTTACTATGAAGAATGATGTTTGCTATTACTTTTGGTAAAAACTGGCAAATTAAGGAACTTCACTTCTATTCCTAGTTTGCCAAGAGCTATTTTTTCTTATCAAGAATAGGTAGTAAATTTTAATAAACACTTTTTCCATAACTATCATGACAATTATGCTGTTTTTCCTTCTTTAATCTAATAATGTGGTGAATTGCATTTATATATTTCTTTTATAACTTTTACTGAATATTTAAAAAAATTAATTTGACAATAGCTCAAACTAACATGCTTCTTCTAAGTACCTGTCTATCTTATAGTTACACTGCCTTAAGGAATATGATTTATAGATAGAAATCACTGAACAGTTAATACAAACTTCAATTCCAACTGAATTGGCCAATGTGGAAGCTCACATCCACAGTACACAGCTGACTAAAACTTTGGAGAAAAATTCATAGTATGTAATCCTCTGAAAGGCTGTATTCTTTTAGTTTATACATCCATTCATTTTTTTAAAGTATTGTATTAATTCCTACTAAAGATTCAATGTAACAGTTGTTTTGTTGTTGTTAATTTCTAGTATCTCCCAGCTACAATGCTAGGTGCTGGTGAGGACCTGATGAATGGTAACATCACCATCACTTCTAGAATAAAGGCTAAACGTACCAGGATGGCTTACAGAGCCCTCAAAGATCTGCCCCTACCAGCATCAACGCCTCCCATTCCCATCATTTACCTACTAGGGTACATCCTATTCCAGCCACACTTATAGTTCTCTGAGACCATGTGACTTTTCTTATACCTCTAAGATTTTGATGTGTTGTTTCCTCCGCCCAAGATGGCCTTCCTTCTACTTTGTCAAGTAAATTCTTTACCTTCTTACAACTCTGCATCAAACAGCACCTTCTTACTATAGCAGTTATTACAGTGTTGGCTAAGTATTTGTTTACATCCCAGTCCTCCAACCCCTGAATTGTAAGAAGACTGGGCAAGATTCACCTATTATTTATCATTCTATCCCTAAGCACCTATCACAATGCTTGGCAAGTAGCAGGGGTATATGTCTGTTGATGGCTATATTTCAATGAACATAAAACTTGAATTCAAAATACAGAGCAAATAAGTCTATCAAGTCTACAATTATTTTCTCAAATAGAATTCATATTATAATAATCTCTTTTAAGGTCATATTTTTTTCACAAATTTAGACTGTCAT